>NC_000012.12:108975279-109126794 GCF_000001405.40 Homo sapiens | reverse complement strand
AGATGCACATCCACAATGCCTGGTACACTGTAGGTGCTCAATTAATGCCTGTTGAGACAAACCAAACTTCTTTTTTCTTTCTTTTTATTTTTTATTTTTTTTGTGTGTGTAGAGACAAGGTCTCTCTCTGTCACCCAGGCTGGAGTCCAGTGGCACAATTGTAACTGACAGCAGCCTCGAACTCCTGGGATCAAGCAATCCTCCTGTTTTAGCCTCCCAAATAGCTGGGACTACAGGTGCACACCACGACATCTAGCTAATCTTTTTTATATTTTGTAGAGATAGGGTCTTTCTGTGTTGCCCAGGCTGGTCTTGAACTCCTGTCCTCAAGCAATCTTCCCACCTCTTCCTCCCAAAGTTCTGGGATTACAGGCATAAGCCACCATGCCTGGTTCAGATCAAATTCTTGATGTGGTGAATCTGCCATCCCAAGCAAAACTGGCCTGAATGGTTCCAGATCGGCCCCTGCCTTGAAGGAAGGTAAGAGGAGCCGTTTTTCCACCTCCAATGGAAAACATGTTCCGCAGTCTAAAGGCCTATCAGTCTGATCTGTCTGGCTAGCCTCTCACTTGAATTATCCCTGCAGAAATTGCTGAAGTCCACTGTTCAGCTCTCCTAAGTTCTGGTCCTTGCCATCTTCACAGGTGGAATCCTATCCTTCTTCGCTTCTCCCCCTGCTGTGCTGTGAATTTGCCTTCTTCAGCCATTCACTCATTCATCAGCAGGTATTTCCTGAGCACCTGCCAGGTGTGGTACACGCTGCTGGAGACATGGAGCAAACAGGCAGGAATGGCCCAGCCCTGCCCTCGTGGGTTTATGATCTCACTGGGAAGCAAATAAAATCACAAACCTGAGGGCACAACCAGGAGAATCGCCATGAACTCGTGATGGATCAGGTTTTGCACCAAAATGTAAGTCATTTTTGAGTGTGAAACCAAGAACCCTCTGGGCGACACAGTGCATTGGTTAGAGCACGAGATCTGGATTCAGGTTCTATTTCTGCTGTTCATTTCCTGTGTGACCTTGAACAAGTTTCCTCACCTCTCTGAGCTTGGGTTTTCTCATGTATACAATGATAAGGAAGTCTTCCTCATACAGTTTTGGAGTTTAAGTAAACTAATACAGATCAAGTCATTGATGAAAGAGTGTGCTACCATTTATGGTGCTCTCCATCATGTACCAAGCATTGCGCTAAGTGATTTACCTAAGATCAAGTTCAAGCCACTGTTATATCTCACTTGGGCCACTGCGAAAGTCTCTTGACCTGTCTCTCTGGCCTGGTCTTGTCCCTCCAGTTCATCATGCACAGAGAAGCCAAGGCGATCTTGTAAAAATTCCACAGACATCGTTAGTGTCCAGATTATAATGTCTCTAAGAACATTTCCCACTGAAAGGAACCAGGACTCCTTGGAGAAATGTCTGATTCTAGGGCTGGGGCAGAAATGTACATGATGAGCTGAGATATCTTCTTGCCTGAAAACAAGGACCCTCCAGGGGCATGGGCTACCAAAGAGAGGCTGCAAACGGATGATGACTGCAGTGGATTGAAACACATCAAAATATCTTTAAAAACCATAAGGTCGTAACACCCCTCAAAACAAAAACAACTCGTTGATACTTTTCATGGCTGCTAGGGCTACTCATTACTCTGAAAATAGACTTAGCCCCGCCCACACACAAAAAAAGGACATAATCAACCATGTACTCTGCCTTTCAGGGACTGTATTTCAGGGTAAGCAAATGCTTGAGGAAAGTCGTGTGGTAGAGAACAATGAGAGTTGGGCCGGGCACAGTGGCTCATGCCTGTAATGCCAGCTCTTTGGAAGGCCAAGGCGGGAGTATCGTTTGAGCTCAGGTTTGAGACCAGCCTGGGCAATGTAGTGAAACCTCATCTCTATCAAAAATACATAAAATTAGCCAGGCATGGTGGCGAGCGCCTGTGGTCCCAGCTACTCAAGAGGCTGAGGCAGGAGGATCGCTTGAACCTGACAAGTTGAGGTTGCAGTGAGCCAAGATTGTGCCACTGCACTCTAGCCTGGATGACAGAGAGAGACCCTGTCTCAAAACAAACAAACAAAACCAGAAACAACAACAACAACAACAAAAAACAACAAGAGCTAATAAGCACAGAAAGATTGACGGAAGTAGAAAATCACTATAGTAACGAAACAATAATCTGGGCTTTGCTCATCAGCAGGCAGTAAAGTCATTCGGCAAGAGGGTGATAGGGAACTTTACGACGGAGGTCAGACTGATACCCTAAACTCACTAATGAACAAAAATCACTAAAAGTGGGGTAACTGAACTTTATGTTCTTGACGTGATGCAAGAGAAAACAGAAAAACACCTTCAAAGTATTCCTGCTAAGGATCTGCACCTGAATTGATTCAAGCCTCTTGACCTAGTACTTATTTATAGGTATAGAAGAACATGTTAGATGACACTTGGAAGATGCAATCAGCCAAATCCAGAATATGGAAAATTCTACGGGACAAATGACCCAGTTTCAATAAGTAACTGGCATTTAATAAAGGGAGTTGCTGATTATTACAGATGAGGAGACTTAAGAGAAACCCTGTGGGTCCTGATTTGAATAAAACCATTCAAAGACATCTTTGAGCCACCTGGAGGACAGTCAGCATGAACTAGGTACTAGATTAAGGAATTATCATTCATTCTGTTAGATAGATATAATTATGGCAATGGTTTAAAAAAAAAACTTGTGTCTTTTAGAAATGTGTGCTAAAGTATTACGGGCAAAACAGTGTGACATCTAGCTGTGAGAATTGCTTGAAAATAGTCTGGGGGCCAGATGCAGTGGCTCACATCTATAATCCCAGCACTTTGGGAGGCCAAGGCAGGAGGATCGCTTGAGCCCAGGAGTTCAAGACCAGCCCGAGCAACATGGCAAACTCTGTTACCTAAAAAATAAAAATTAAAAAAAAAAAATTAGCCAGGCGTGGTGGTGTGTCCCTGTAGTCCCAGCTACTCTGGAGGCTGAGATGGGAGCCCAGGGTAGTAGAGG
Organism: Homo sapiens; assembly: GCF_000001405.40. Lineage (NCBI taxonomy): Eukaryota > Metazoa > Chordata > Mammalia > Primates > Hominidae > Homo > Homo sapiens. Next base: position 109,123,769 of record NC_000012.12, on the reverse strand, counting down.
CTGCAAGTGAGCCGAGATTGTGCCACTGCACTCCAGCCTGGGCGACAGAGTGAGACCCTGTCTCTTTTCTTTTTTTTGAGACAGGGTCTCACTCTGTCACCCAGGCTGGAGTGTAGTGGCACAATCTTGGCTCAATGCAACCTCTGCCTCCCAGGTTCAAAAGATTCTCCTGCCTCAGCCTCCTGAGTAGTTGGGATTACAGGTGCATGCCACCAGGCCTGGCTAATTTTTGTATTTTTTGTAGAGATGGGCGTTTTTCCATGTTGGCCAGGCTGGTCTTAAACTCCTGGCCTCAAGTGATCTGCCCGCCTCGGCCTCCCAAAGTGCTGGAATTACAGATGTGAGCCACCACGCTCGGCCTAAGACCCTGTCTCTTAAAACAAACAAATAAACAAACAAACAAAAAAAACTCTGGAGCTCTAATTAATGACATGCATGTTGAAGTATTCAAGGATAAAGACACTGATATCTGCAATTTACAGGTGACAAATACAGAAAAATGGTAATGGCAGAATCTAATCAGGGGTATATGGGCACCCACTGTAAAATTCTTTCAACTTGTATGTTTAAAAATTTTTTTTTTTTTTTTGAGATGGAGTCTCGCTCTGTCGCCCAGGCTGGAGTGCAGTGGTGCGATCTCGGCTCACTGCAAGCTCCGCCTCCTGGGTTCATGCCATTCTCCTGCCTCAACCTCCTGAGTAGCTGGGACTACAGGCACCTGCCACCACGCCCGGCTAATTTTTTGTATTTTTAGTAGAGACGGGGTTTCACCATGTTAGCCAGGATGGTCTCGATCTCCTGACCTCGTGATCCGCCCACTTTGGCCCCCAAAGTGCTGGGATTACAGGCATGAGCCACTGCACCCAGCTTAAATTTTTTTATAATAAAATGTTGGGGGAATAATATAGGGAAAATGGGTATAGGAAGATGAAACTAGAAGGGCAGAAAGGCAATGGTTATTGAAGCTGGCTGATGAATGCATTGGGGGACCACTGTGCTATTTACTCTGCTTCTGAAGGTGTTAAAAAAAAACAGGTCAACTTTTTTTCCTATACCAAAAAGTTAAAAAGTTCATAAAATACAATGCAAGTACCCACCAGCTGACTGAAACCTGAATATTAATAGCTAATACTTATGAGTACTAATTTGTGCTAGGCTCTGTATTCAGCATCTTTTTTTTTTTTTTTTTTTTTTTTTGAGACAATGTCTGACTCTGGCGCCTAGGCTGGAGTGCAGTGGCACAATCATAGCTCATTGCAGCCTTGAATTCCTGGGCTCAAGCAATCCCCCTCCTCGGCCTCCCAAAGCACTGGGATTACAGGCATGTGCCACCACGCCCAGCGAAACTTTTTATATTTTATACAGACAGGGACTCAAGCAATCCTCCCGCCTTGGCCTCCCAAAGCACTGGGATTACAGGCATGAACCACCATACCTGGCCTATATGAAGCATTTTATAATCATTGTCTCATTCCACCTTGTGAGACCAGTAGCAGGGGAAGCCTCGTTTTATTGATGAGGAAGTTCTGGGTTCGAGAAGTTGAAGTGACGCAAAGTCACTCACCCGGGTAGTAAGCAGATAAACTGAATTTCACCTTTTCAATGATTGCTCACTGCACCCCTTTCCATGGTCTACATGGCCCTGGCAAACCGGCCTCTGCCACACTGACCCCTCTACGTTCCTCTGCACATGCTGCCTGGAATGTTCTGGAATGTTCTTCCCTTCCCTGCCCCCACTTCTGTCCTTTGCATGGTTATCTCTTGCTCTTTTTCTGATGGTTGGCTTCAGTGTCCCCACCTCAAACCCACCCTGATACTCAGTGGTCTTATTCTGTAGGACACGTGCCATTCATCACGTGCTGACCTGACTCTCTGCATTCACCAATGAGTTTATGCCTCTTCTCCACTGGAATAGAAGCTTCCTAAGGGCAAGGAGTGGCTCTGTCTTGCTCTGGGCTCTCCAGCACAGTGCCTAGCACACAGAAGCGTCAGGGTCAGTGAACACTTGCTGGAGGCCTGCACCCAGCTCAGGTGTGTCTGTGCCACCCCCACCCCTGCTGCCTACCTGGGGAATCCTCCTGCTCCACTGAGTCCTTGGGGCTGGGAGTGTCCAGGTGAGGCCCTGGGCACAGGCATCTGCACGGCTGTTGAACCCCTGCTGGCTGCTCCCTCATACTGCTGTATCAGGGGCCACCAGAGAGATGCCATGGAACACCATGCTCTTGCTCTATGCCCCACAGTTCCCTGATCTCTTCCTCCTGGCACTCATCATAGGTTGTAGTTATGTGGGTCATTATTACACATCTACCAGTGTCCCCCACTAGAAGGTAAGATCTGTGAGAGCAGGCAAGGCTTAAAACCCAGAGGGGCACAGATTTATCATCAATTTCTGACTTCATCTCCCCCGACCCCTTCCCCAGTCTATTTGCAACTCTGAAAATAGGGTTCTTTTGTAACTCCAGTATACACTAGGAGGCATATAGTAGTCCCTCAAGGAACCCATAAAAGCATGTTGAATAAGAATGAAAGCTGGCAGGTGTGGTCTCTCATGCCTGTAATCCCAGCACTTTGGGAGGCCTAGGCGGGCAGATCACTTGAGGTCAGGAGTTCGAGACCAGCCTGGCCAACATGGTGAAACCCTGTTTCTACTAAAAATACAAAAATTAGCCGAGTGTGGTGATATGCACCTGTGGTCCCAGCTACTTGGGAGGCTGAGGCAGGAGAATCGCTTGAACCTGGGAGGTGGAGGTTGCAGTTAGCTGAGATCACGCCACTGCACCCCAGCCTGGGCAACAGAGCAAGACTATGTCTCAAAAAAATAAAAAAGAAAGCTGATGTTTGTTGAGCACCTCCTACACACTGAGTCTTATGCTGTGCACTTTGTGTGTGTTATCTCTTTAAATGTTCACAAAAATGATAAGATGAGGCACAGAGAGAAAGTCTGTTGTTCAGAGTCACATCAGTGAGTGGCAGAGCTGGGCCCCGGGCTGGGCCCTCCAGCTCCAGGTGTGCACGTGTGTGGCACACGTGTGTGGGTGTGTTTTCTTCATCCCTTCCCCTACGCCCACCATTGCCTCACTCCAAGGCTGAGCTAGTGCAACAGCCTGTTAGCAGATCTCACTGAATCAATTCTACTTTCTCCCTGTTCAAATTCATCCAGAACCCTGGGAGACAGTGCTCTATTTACACACACACACATACACACACACATGCATGCATACACACATGCACACACACACCCCTTGCCCCCTGCTCAAGAGCTCGAGCCTGTGAACCTCATCCACTCCATGGTCCTGCCTCCCAGGATCCTGCAAGGAGATGAGGAAGGCATGGAATGAAACGGTTCCATGTTTTGCAAGAGGTGGCTATGAATACCAATCCTGAAAGATGGTCCCCACCCTTGCCAAAAAATAACATTTCTAGGGCCAAATCCCAATGTCACATCTTGGAGAGTCCCACTGCATTTAGCATAGTAAAGGCTCTGAGAAGTCCTGCTGTAAACCACAGGCAGCCTGGTGTTTCCCAAACTGATTGGCCCTGGAGGCCTGTTTCCACCTTGCATGGGCAGCTCTCCATATCAGAAGAGCTCCAAAAGCCTCACTTTGTGGGGAGTATGGAAATAAAAGACCGAAGCCTTCCTTATAACACAGCAGAGAAAGCCTTCTAGGTCAGTTGGGAGGGGCATGTCCAACAACTGATTATTCTATAATAGCTAGTATTGAAGTCTGCAGCTGATTTGCTTCTAAATAGAAAGGAGAGTGTGTTCAAGTTGTCCTCTGATATCACCTTCACTCATTATTTAATTTAAAAATATGGAGCTTAATTAGTTCAACAGGAGTGGTGGAAAATCCTTTAATCCTTTTTTTTTTTCTTCTGAGATGGAGTCTCGCTCTGTCGCCCAGGCTAGAGTGCAGTGGCGCGATCTCAGCTTGCTGCAACGTCTGGTTCCCAGTTTCAAGCGATTCTCCTGCCTCAGCCTCCCAGGTAGCTGGGATTACAGGCGCACCACCATAACTGGCTAATTTTTGTATTTTTAGTAGAGACAGGGTTTTGCCATGTTGGTCAGGCTGGCCTTGAACTCCTGACCTCAAGTGATCTGCCTGCCTCAGCCTCCCAAAGTGCTGGGATTATAGGCGTGAGCCACCCAGCCCTGTCTCAAAATCATTTTTTTTTTTTTTTTGAGACAGAGTCTTGCTCTGTTGCCCAGGCTGGAGTGCGGTGGCACCATCTCGGTTCACGGCAAGCTCCACCTCCTGTGTTCAAGTGATTCTCCTACCTCAGCCTCCCAAGTCGCTGGGTTTACAGGCACTAGCCACCACACCCAGCTAATTTTTGTATTTTTAGTAGAGAAAGGGTTTCACCATGTTGGCCAGGTTGGTCTCAAACTCCTGACCTCAAGTGATCTAGCTCCTCAGCCTCCCAAAGTGCTGGGATTACAGGCGTGAGCCACTGTGTCTGGCCTGAAGAGACCTTTTCTATGTGTAGTTGTTTTCTGGGGCCCCAGCAAGGGTCAGAGTGGCTAAGGTATGAGCCCAGAGAGCAGGACTTCTGGAGTACAGCAGACTTGGGTGGAGGCTTTGCCATTTGTTATCTGATTGGCCTGAGCCCATCATGGAAATTCTCTGAACCTTGGTTTCCTGGCCTGTGGAATGGAATAAATAAAATCTCCTTCCTAGGATTGTCCTCAAAATTATGTGAGATCCCATAATTATTATGGCATACCTGGGGTATGCCAACTACCCAATAATCAATACCTTGGTTTCTCTGCTGTGCCCAGCCTGGATTCTCTGATACAAGGATCCCTGGATTCCTGGAATAAATGAACACGGTCTATCTTCCTAGAAAATCACCTTACTCTACGGTCATAAATTTACTATTATCACTGCAAACAGAGAGATCTATTAGGATAGGATGTGAAATGTGCATACATTTTTCCGATCAAATGCAATATTTCTAACTCTGTTTCCTGGTTTCCCTGGGTACAGGTGAACTCTACTTTGAAGTAACAAGTCACTGAATCACAAATTCAGAGGAAGCATGAGAACAAGGTATTCCAGGCCGGGTGCAGTGGCTCATGCCCGTAATCCCAGCACTTTGGGAGGCCAAGGTGAGCAGATCACTTGAGGTCAGGAGTTCGAGACCAGCCTGGCCAACATGGCAAAACCCCATCTCTACTAAAAATACAAAAATTAGCTGGGCGTGGTAGTGCTTGCCTGCAATCCCAGCTACTCGGGAGACTGAGACTGAGGAATTGCTTGAACCTGGGAGGCAGGGGTTGCAGTGAGCTGAGATTGTGCCATCGCACTCCAGCCTGGGTGACAGGACGAGACTCTGTCTCAAAAAAAAAAAAAAAAAAAGAACAAGGTCAAAGTTTCTACTGGGATAAGACTTCAAGGAAACCTCCATTTCAAAAGATTAAAATGTTTATTTCCCCATGAAGACTGGGTATCTCATGTAATGTAATACTCAAATTTCTGTCTCAGACCTAAAGGTGTTGAAAGTATGAGCGAGTTTACACAACACCTGAGCAGGAGCAAATAAAACTCTTAAGAGCTTCTGAAAGAAAGTTACAGATTAGAGATATTTTCATCTCTAAATCACATGAATTAGGATTGGCTGGGTCTTTCCACTTAAAACTTGGAGAAGTCATAAAAAGAAATCTTGTAAAGAACTCCATGTCACTATTAGCAGAAACATGCAATTTATAAAATGATATCTTTGGCCAGGCGCGGTGGCTCATGCCTGTAATCCCAGCACTCTGGGAGGCCGAGGCGGGCGGATCACTTGAGGTCAGGAGATCGAGACCATCCTGGCTAACACAGTGAAACCCTGTCTCTACTAAAAATACAAAAAAAATTAGCCGGGCGTGGTAGTGGGTGCCTGTAGTCCCAGCTACTTGGGAGGCTGAGGCAGGAGAATGGCGTGAACCCAGGAGGCGGAGCTTGCAGTGAGCACTCCATCTCAAATAATAATGATAATAATAATATCTTCACCTTTCAGTTTTTAAATTGCAAGTCCCATGTCCCGGGAATTCCCCGGTCCTGGGCAAAGTGGGATGGTTGGTCACCCAACCTATATGGATGCCCATTGATATTAAAAAATAAAAGTAATCACAATAGACATGAGGGAGAGAGTTGTGTACAGTGTGAGTGTACAGAATAAAAGGTCTGGGGGGTTTATACCAAAATGTGCACAGTGGCTACCTGGAGGAGGAGGGTTAGACAGGAATAACAGCAAGGAGACTTTTGCACGGTGCTGAGTGACTTTTTAACTTGCATATTATTTTGGAATGCATTTTTTCAACATTGAAAGAAAGTCATGTCTTCCTAGAAATATAGGATATAGGACCACTACAAACGCTTTACTCTTAGTCTCCTTTTTTTCTTTTTCTTTTCTTTTTTTTTTTTTTTGAGACAGAGTCTTGCTCTGTCAGTCAGGCTGGAATGCAGTGGCGCAATTTTAGCTCACTGCAACCCCCACCTCCTGGGTTCAAGCGATTCTCCTGCCTCAGCCTCCCAAGTAGCTGGGATTACAGGTGCCCATCACCACATCTGGCTAATTTTTATGTGTTTAGTACAGATGGGGTTTCGCCATGTTGGCCAGGCTGGTCTCGAACTCCTGACCTCAAGTGATCCACCTGCCTCTGCCTCCCAAGGTGCTGGGTGGCATGAGCCACCGTGCCCAGCCTTAGTCTGCTTTAAAAAAAAAAAAAAAAAAAAAAAGAACAACCATTTGAGGAAACAGAAACAGAATACTATTCCTTAAGACAGTAGCTTTGGAGGCAAAAAACAGAATTGTTTATAAAACGTTGTGGAACTTATATGGGAGCATGTCCAGGGATCCACACCACCATTTATAGAAGCAAAGAAAGGCCCTTCTCTTTCATCTGCGTTACATTTCGAGCTCTTCTGATTAGCTTCCTTCAAACATGACGGGAGTCGTTTTTCCCCGGGGACCCCAAGTGCATGCCTTCAGACAGGGTCTGCTCTCACTATACATTGGGTTCGAATTTACCTGGACGTTGGCAGAATGGTCCGGACCCCGGGGAGGGGCGAGCTGACTTACCACTTTATTCCTGCCGCTTTTCTCTTGCCATGTCCTCCCCACCGTGCATTCAGGGTTACATTTTCCAGGTTCCTTGTTTGCTGAGGGCCTGAATCTAAGCCTGCTAGCTGCTTACTCTGGGGACTGCAAATGTCACTTTTAGATTAATCAGCCCCTGCTGTTTAAAAATATCCCTGGAGCACTTAACCTTCAAAGCAGCAACAACCCGGGGCAAAGATGAGAAAGATCCCACGTCAAACCACTTGTGCAGCCCTGGCTACTCCTGGGAGAGTTCTGCTATCTGCCTTTTAATCCCATAACTCGCTTTATTTCATAATTCTTAGCTGTTGAAGCCATGAGGCATCTAAAGTCCATGTTGTCGTAAGCAGTAGGCAGAAAGTCATCTGGGCCCTCCTGTGACATGCTGAAAATTAACTGCCTACAGGTGTTGGTCATTTGAGAAACAAGCCCCCATTGAAAACCGTGAATGGGAAGGTGATCGCTATCAGGTCACCTGGCTTCTCTCCCCTGAAAAGATTTGGCGAAACCCTCTCAAATCACGCCACTTAATGGAATGTTTCCAATTTCTTGTGACTTGGGGATAAAAGAAAAAAACAGCTCCATTGCCACATTCTCATTCAGGGTTGACTGGCTCTTGCTAGGGTTGAGCACAGAAGAGGAAATTCAGCACACGCTGCAGTTACATAGTGTTCTGCAACGTGGGGAGGGCTGGCATGTGGGACAAAGGTCGCCTCCAAGGCCCAGCTGGAGAAGCCCAGCCAACTAGGCAGCAGGAAAGTGGAGACCACATAGGAGCACATTGTGCTCAGGCAACAGGGAAGGTGGAACCCACTTCCTGCCAACAATGATGGCCTTACTAAACAGCAAGTGGAGAAACTGGCGAGAGCGCTGAGCACGGGATCTGTGCAAAATGGTTTAAATGGAAATTGCTGCTGGGGCTGGTGCAGCCTGTTCACAGCTACTTTGTTTCTGGGCTTATTTTGCAATAAGGAACAGTCATTGAATATTGGACTTCTTGGGATTTTCTCCACTGGACTTGGAAGCATGTGCTCTGGAAACCTCAGCATTATCAGCTGTAACCCCACAGCACCAGGTACATGTTACAGGAACCGGGGTGAAGGAATGCAGGTCAAATGCCTGCACAATGCCCGGCCCGAGTCATATGTTCTCTAGCCACAGTAGCCCTTGTGATGGCTCTTAGTCTATTTATTAAGACAATAAAAGAGGTGACTCTCAAACAAACCTATGTTTCCAGGGAGAGCCATCTGTGATTCAAGGACATTTTTATAAAATTCCATTGAAAAAAATTCTTAGGCTTCTAACTTCATGAAAAAAAAATTCTTTCCCAGTGATTCCAAATAATCATGATCTAGGCAGGGTGTTGACAGTGGCAGGACTATTAGGCTTTGAAATCAAGCTGATGTGGGTTTGAATCCTCCCTCCATTAGCCATGACTTTGAGCAAATGGCTGAGCTTCAGTGTCCTCATCAACTACTTCACCATATGGGTGAGAAAATGAAATGATTTATATTGAGTTTCTGGCACAGGGGCTTGCTCATGACAAGCACTTAATATCTTTCTAATGAAATTCATTACTTGCAAAAAGACTAGACATACCCACACATACAGGTGAAGAACTCTGCAGTGATTCAGTTCTCCCTAGACACTATCTCTTTAAGACACAGGTATTTTCCAGAATATAATTGGAAGGCTTGAAACCAAAGTTATTCATAAACTCTTTCCATCAAACACAAGAACGGTAATAGAAATATATTTCTTCAAACAGCTGTTAGTTTCAGAAAGTCACAGGTATCAAGTTACATTTTTTGTTTTGTTTTGTTTTGTTTTAGAAATAGGATCTTGCTCTGTTGCCCAGGCTGGATGGAGTGCAGTGGCATGATCATAGCTCACTGCAGCCTCGAACTCCTGGGCTCAAATGATCCTCCTGCCTCAGCTTCCCAAGTAGCTAGAACTACAGGCACACACCACCCCTGGCTAATTAAAAAAAAAAAAATTTTTTTTTTTTAAAGACAAGGTCTCATTATGTTGCCCAAGTTGGTCTTGAACTCCTGGCCTAAAGCGATCTTCTTGCCTTGCCTCCTAAAGCACTGGGATTACAGGTATGAGCCACTGTACCTGGCCCAAAAAAAATTATTAAGTGACCACATGGTCTAACAAAACAAGGCACCTGGAAAGAAATCACCAGTCCTGCTGCAAACCGGACCCTCTGTGAGAATTCACATGCCTTCCCCCACCAATTAAATCAGAATTTCCAGGGATGGGGTCTGGCTTTGCATGTTTTAGCTTCTCTAGGCTGGAGGAGCACTAGCTTCTTGTTGGAAGGCTCCCTACCTTCCTCTCCCACACCCTCACCCCAAACATCATTAAGAGAGACAAAAGAACATGCTATATACACAACTAACAAGCAGAGAACATAAATTATTGATCTCCTGGTCTGCTCCGCTCACCAATATTTATATTTCCAAGCATATTTCAAAAACTTAAAAACTGGTTCCCTAGCCTGGGCAACTTAGCAAGACCCCATTTCTATTAAAAACTTAGCCAGGTATGGTGGTGCATACCAGTGGTCCCAGCTGCTCAGGAGGCTGAGGCAGGAGGATCACCTGAACCCAGGAAGTTGAGGCTGCAGTGAGCCATGACTGAGTCACTGTACTCCATCTTAAGAAACAGAGTGAGACTCTATCGCAAAAAAAAGAAAAAAAAATTGGTTCCCATTGACTTAAACTACAAAGGAACTTCCTGTTGTCAGACCCAAATTACAGTGTCAGAAGGACTCTAAACAAGGAGGCCATCTCCAGCAGAGGAATGTTCTAGCTTTCCTCAGCTTGAGTCAGCACAAGTCAGCATGTGAGGTCTTTTCAAAGTAACCCAGAGCACCTCCCTGCAACCTGTTTTTCCTTGCAAATCTTGAAGGTTTGGCAAGGATGAAAAGCCAACACCACACGCATACGCCAAAAAGTTTGCTTCTCCACCAAACATACTTGCGAAGACTTTTATATGAGAAGCAAACTGAAGCAGAAAGTGAATTTGAACAGAGATGTATTATCTAATAATGCAAGCATACTAGCAACATGCTAAAGTCTATCTTTAAAAAATGCAAACAATTTATAGTCCCTGACCTTCCCCTGCTGGATGTAGATCAAAAGCAGGCAGTGACTTTCACACAATTAATTATTTTATAACTGGACGTTTCCAGTACAACATTTGCTAATAACTGACTTCCTTGTGTTACCAATTCCAAAAGCTGTCAGAGATCTCCCTAACTCACCTGAAAAGGGAGGAAACAGGAATCATTAGGCCAGGTTCTCAGAAGCCTCCCAAACCTTGCCACGTGGAACCATCCAGCTCCACATCCAGCATGTGGGTCCTGCCTTTGCAGAGGCAGGCTCCTCAGTGTTGAATGCTCTTGTTCCTCTTTGTGGCCTGGAAAGTTCAATATCCACTCAGACATTCTCTCCACTGGGAAATGTCTTCTTTCCTGGGCTGACCCAGCCGTTGCTGCCTTTTTGTTCCCACCGCACTGACAGTGAGTACACACAGGGGTCTGCAGACTGTGGTTCCAGATGCCTGTTTTCCAATAGCTCCCAAGCTAGGAGTGGTTTTTACATTTGTTAAATGCTTAGGAAAAAAAAAGATTTCGTGACACATGAAAATCATATTAAAATCTAATTTCAGTGTCCATAAATAATAAAGTTTTATTGGAACACAGCCTCGCCCGTTCCTGTACGTTTTGCCCACGGCTGCTTTCTCTGCAGTGAGTTGTTGAGCAGTTCCCACGGAGAACGGGTAACTGCAAACCCTCAAATATTTACCACCTGACCCTTCACAGAAAGTTTGCCAACCGCTGACCTAAAAGGCTAAGACTGCCTTTTATGCATCTTTGCATACTGAGTGCAGGAATATAGCAGACTTGACACATGAAAAAAGCAACTACCACATAGCTAAGAGTTCATCAAAATGAGTTGCCTGGTTGGTTTTTTTTTTTTTTTTTTTTTGAGACGGAGTTTTGCTCTTATGCTCTTGTTGCCCAGTCTGGAGTGCAATGGTGCGATCGCCCGGGTTCAAGTGATTCTCCTGCCTCAGCCTCCCAAGTAGCTGGGATTACAGGCATGTGCCACCACGCCTGGCTAATTTTGTATTTTTAGTGGAGACAGGGTTTCTCCATGCTGGTCAGGCTGGTCTTGAACTCCCGACCTCAGGTGATCCACCCACCTCGGCCACCCAAAGTGCTGGGATTACAGGCGTGAGCCCCCACACCTGGCTGAGTTGCCTAGTTTCTAAAGAATCAGTAATTAAATTTTTGGAGGGTCATGGACCCAGAAGCTGCTCTGTGTACTGTTTAAAGTGTCACCACATGACTAAAGTTCAATATATACACATATATATTGAATATATATACATATATACATACATATATATTGAATATACATACATATATATTGAACTTATATACATATATATTCAATATACGTATATTGAACTTTTGTATATATTATATAGAAATGTATGTATATATATTTAAAATATACATTTTATATTTTAAAATATAAAATAATTGTGTTTTGAATTATTCCTGGAAACTTGGAGCTCACTGCTCCCCCTACCGGCAGTGCTGCACCGGGAGAGAGAGAAGTGTGAAAAGCTAACTGGTGTAAGCACAATTATCCCTTCACTTCTTCCTTGGCTAAGGGAGTCCACTGTTGTTTAGAGGAAGATCCCAAAGTTACCAGAGGGCAAATCGACCATGCATCCTCCTCCCGTGAAAGCCAGCTTGCTGACCACAAAATGTAGAATGATAAACCCTTCCCTACATAGATAAGGAAAGGAAGCAGTATTTTCAAGCAAACTCTGGTCTCCCTCCCTGCCCTTTTAAGAAATGCATTTGCTAGTCTCGAGGTTCTGGCTGGATGCATTCTTTCTTGCCCATTTAGTTAAAAGTTTCTCTACTAAAAGTACAAAAATTAGCCGGGCGTGGTAGTGCATGCTCGTAATCCCAGCTACTTGGGAGGCTGAGGTGGGAGGATTGCTTGACCCCTGGAGGCAGAGGTTGCAGTGAGCCGAGATCGCGCCACTGTACTTCAGCCTGAGCGACAGAGTGAGACTCGCTCAAAAAAAAAAAAAGAAAAAGAAAGAAAGAAAAAAAAACACAATTGTGGCTTCTTTCTTCGGACACTGGGGGATCCCACAGATCATCCTGACAGCCCCCACTACCTGAGCCTGGGCTGCGGGCCAGTGCGTCATCAGGGAGTCTTCCTGGAGCCCTGGCCTCACTTCCGAGTTCCAGATGTCTCGGAGTCTAGAAACACTGGCTGAGCGGGGGATGCAGGCGGCTCCCCTCCAACGTCACAGGGCTTGGCAGAACGTAGCCACGACGGGCACGCCATGTTCCCCGAAGAAATGCCTTCCTCAGGCCGTTAGTTACCCCTCTGGGGTCTCAGCTGGCAGCCGGTGCTCCACGGTGCTCGGAGTTGGGGCGCTGCTCCAGGCCGGGGGTTGGGCCCAGCGCTCACCGCAGCCAGGGGAGGGTTGGGCCGTTCCACTGAGCGGCAGGGCGGGGAGGAGGGGCAAGGGCGGCCCCTCCTGCAGACGGTGGTTGCTATGGGAACCCTGGGAGGCGCCAAGGGAAAGGGCAGCCCAAGGACGTCCATGGATGCCCTGGCCTGGACGCACAAAGGACACTTGCACAAAACAAACTTTTAACAAACTTTTATTAACAAACCTCGCGTAGAGCCAACTCTAACCCGACTAACAGCAAAAACAGCATTGCTAACAAGATCAAGGATGGAGGTGCAGACCCAATAAAGACCGTCTCTTAAAAAAAGGACTGGGAAAAATATATATATATATATCTGCATGAGTACTTCTTAAAAAACTAAAACTTTCCAGTGTTGCAGGAAAAAATATCCCAAAGTGATTTCAGTCGGTTAAAAAAAACAGTACTTGGCAGTCTGTGCTGCCTTAAAAACCCCAACTGGACATAACCCTAGGAGAAAATCACCCCACCCCATAAAGACAAAATTCCCTTTTCTCCTCTTCCTTGTTCAAATTCCACTGCTTATTCCACCAACACCCAAGGAATAACAAGACCCAGCTTACTTCTCTCGGTCTCTTATCTGATAAAGCTCACAGCAATCTTAACCTCTACTACAATCAGGAAATTGAGCCCTAATTTCTGGGCCAGATTCTGGAAAGTTGCAAAACATCCTTATGCTGCGAGGGGCCTGAGGACTCCTTCAAAGATCAAGGGGGCAGTGGAACTGGCAGAGACTGGCATGCCTGCCCTGCAAGGCTGAGACAAGGGGACCTTTCTAAGCAAAAACACCCCAACATCTGTCACTGAAAGTCTAACCAGGCAAAACCAAGGAGCAGCAGGCGCCAAACTAGGGCTGTGCCTGAAAGGTGCACATCTCCCCTGTTTCACCATAAAGGCAAGGGAGATAAAGAGAGCCAACTGAGTATTTGACCTCATCTGTCTTCTGCATATTTTAGGCCGAAGCCATGTTGCAGAGAAAGACATTTGGTCAAAGGGTAGCCTTTGTTGTTTGTGGTTGGATACAGCTGCCATTCCTGGACAGCCTGGTTCATGGCTGCTTTCTGGAAGCTTTTCCCCCTTATGCAGAGTACTTAAGAATTAATAGGAAAATTTTCAGTGGAACTTCGTAACTGGCAAATACGTTAACAGCAGCTTCTCAAAGGCCACCCCTCAGCTGATGATCACAGCTCCTTCCAGTCAATGGGCTTCTTGCCAGACTTCTGCAGCAGCTCATTGGTCTTTGAAAAGTGTCTACATCCAAAGAACCCTCTATACACTGACAAAGGGGAGGGATGAGCCGTCTGTAGTACATGGTGCCGCTTCTGAAAAAGATCAAGAATAAATGGTGGCAGATTTGGGACTTTTTAAATTTTTTTTTTTTTTTTTTGAGACAGAGTCTTGCTGCAGTGGCGTGATCTCGACTCACTGCAACCTCCGCCTCCCGGGTTCAAGCGATTCTCCTGCCTCAGCTTCCCAAGTAGCTGGGACTACAGGCGCGTGCCACCACACCCAGCTAATTTTTGTATTTTTAGTAGAGATGGGGTTTCATCATATTGGCCAGGATGGTCTCGATCTCTTGACCTCGTGATCCGCTCGCCTTGGCCTCCCCAAAGTGCTGGGATTACAGGCGTGAACCACCATGCCCGGCCGGGACTTTTTTTTTTTTTCCCCAAAAAGGAAGGACTGTGGCTGTTGCACTTTAAGACCCTGTGCGATTCCCCTTTGCCCTCTAAATTCTCCCCCTTCCAAAGTGGAGCATTCAGCATTTGCATTAGAACATTAGTCCGTTTGTTGAGCAACTACCTACCTTTGCTAGGCTCTGAGATGCAAAGAGCACCACCCTCTGCCTTCAAGTTGGCAATTATCTATGCAATTTTCAAGTGTCCCTATCATACTGCCAGCAATTTCCACTGCTAAGACTGTATTTGCTAAAGGACACCATGATGCATACACACACAGATAAACTCCTCAACTTATTAACACAATGGATGGGGTTAACATCTTGGAAAACCCATCCTAAGTAGAAAATATCCTAAGTTGAAGATATATTTATGACATATAACCTGCTGAACATCATAGCTTAACCTACCCTACCTTAAACATGCTCAGAACACCTACATTAGCCTACAGCTGGGCAAAACAAAGCTTCTTTTACAATGAAGTGTTTAGTACCTCATGTAACTCATTGAACACTGTACTGAAAGTGAAAAATAGAACGGGGCCAGTCACGGTGGCTTACACCTGTAATCCCAGTGCTTTGGGAGGCCAAGGTAGGACAACTGCATGGGACCAAGAGTTTACAACCAACTGAGGCAACATAGCGAGACCCCATCTCTACAAAAAAATTAAAAAGTTAGCCAAGTGTGATGGCATGCACCTGCAGTCCTAGCTACACAGAAGACTGAGGTGGCAGGATCACTTGAGCCCAGGAGTTCGAGGCTGCAAAAAGCTATAATTGTGCCACTGCACTCCAGCCTGGGTGACAGAGCAAGATCTTTTTTTTTAATTTTTTATTTTTTGAGATGGGGTCTTACTCTGTCACCCAGGCTAGAGTGTAGTGGCATGACTGTGGCCCACTGTAGCCTCCACCTCCTAGGCTCAAGTTACTCTCCCACCTCAGCCTCCTGAGTACCTGGGACCACAGGTGCGTGCCACTACACCAGGCTAATTTTTTGTGTTTTTTAGAGACAAGGTCTCACTATGTTGCCCAGGCTGTTCTCAAACCCCTGAGCTCAAGTGATCCGCCACCCTGGCCTCTCAAAGTGTTGGGATTACAGGCGTGAGCCACTGCTCCCAGCCAAGAGACCCTGTCTCTTAAAGAAAGAAAAAAAAACAACGTGTGAGTGCTCAAAGTATGGTTATACACCATTGTAAAGTCGAAAAAAATCAGGTCAAACTTCATAAGCCAGGGACCAGTTGTACCTACACAAATAGGTACATATAAAGGGACTGACACACTGCTTATGTCAGCTAAAACCTAGTATACAATTCAGTGTTACAGAACTGGCTAAATGTATTTTTCTAAAGTTCTTACAATGTAAAACCACATAACTCCTAGAAAAACATGCGAAAGATAAATATACTGATGAGATGACCTCCAAAATTTACCAAGTGAACAAAATGCAAAATAATTTCATTTTTTAAAAACTTTAGAAAAATACCCAAGACACTGTATTTAGTAGTTCCTTTAAGAGAAAGAGTGGAAGCCATTTACTTTCCATTTTGTGCCTTTCTGAACTCTCTGAATAGTCTTACAGCTCCTAAGAAGGAAGAATTAAAAAACAAAAACAAAAACAAAAAAATCTCGCCACAAAAATGGAATAGTTGGCCGGGCGTGGTGGCTCACACCTGTAATCCCAGCACTTTGGGAGGCTGAGGTAGGTGGATCACCTGAGGTCAGGAGTTCAAGACCAGCCTGACCAACATGAAGAAACTCCGTCTCTACTAAAAATACAAAATTAGCTGGATGTGGTGGTACATGCCTGTAATCCCAGCTACTCAGGAGGCTGAGGCAGGAGAATCACTTGAACCCAGGAGGGGGAGGCTGCAGTGAACTGAGATCACGCCATTGCACTCCAGCCTGGGCAACAAGAGTGAAACTGTCTCAGAAAAAAAAAAAAAAAAAAAAAAAAGAGGAATAGTCAGTGGCCAGGTGTGGTAGCTCACGCCTGTAATCCCAGCACTTTGGGAGGCCGAGGCAGGAGGATCGTTTAAGTCCAGGAGTTCAAGAGCCAGCCTGGGCAACGTGGTGAAACCCTGTCTCCACAAAAAAAAATACAAAAATTAGCCAGGTGTGGTGGCGCACGCCTGTGGTCCCTGCTACTCAGGTGACTAAGGTGGGAGGATTGCTTGAGCCTGGGAGGTTGAGGCCGCAGTGAGTTGAGATCAAGCCAGTGCATTCCAGCCTGGGTGACAGAGCTAGACCCTGTTTCAAAAGAAAAAAAGCAATAGTCATACATCACCTAATGACAGGGATGCATTCTGAGAAGTGTGTTGTTAGGCAATTTCACTGCTATCCGTACACCACAGGGCATCTTTACACAAACCCAAATGGGATAACCTACCACTACACACCTAGGCTATATAGTGTAGCTTATTGCTCCTGGTCTACAAACCTGTGTAGCATGTTACTGTACTAAATACTATAGGCAACTGTGACACAATGGTAGGCATTTGTGTATCTAAACATAGAAAAGATGCAGTAAAAATATTTTTTATATATATATATATACACATATATATATACGTATATATATATGTGTATATATATATATGTTTTTTTTTTGAGATAGAGTCTCACTCTGTTGCCAGGCTGGAGTGCAGTGGCATGATCTCAGCTAACTGCAACCTCTGCCTCCCAAGTAGCTGGGACTACAGGCACACGCCGCCACACCTGGCTAATTTTTTGTATTTTAGTAGAGACAGGGTTTCACTATGTTGCCCAGGCTGGTCTCAAACTCCTGAGCTCAGACAATCCACTCGCCTCGGCCACCCAAAGTGCTGGGATAACAGGTATGAGCCACCACACCCGGCCAGAATATTATAATCTTATGGGACCATCGTCATATATACAGTTTATGACTGAAACATCATTATGTGGCAAATGACTACTTTGATTTTTTTAAAATATCAACTATAGTTATTTTAACAGGGAGATATAGACCATTTTTGTTTTCCTCTTCTTTTCTGTATATAAAAACTAACGAACAAATCACTGTTTCTCAAAACACTCTTGCCTTCAAGGGGCTCAGTCCAGGAGGGGCGATGAGGGGTGAGGACTAAAGCCAGGCAATCCAGTGTGGTTAAGAGTACAGAGCCTGGAGCCAGACTGCCCGGGGTCGAGGCCTACCTCTACCCTCAGTAGCTGTACCACAGAGAAGTTGCTGCAACTCTAAGCTGCTTCAGTTTTCATCTGTAGACTGGGAATAACAATACCGCCCAGCTTATGAAGTTACTGTGACCAATCAAATGAGGATCACAGGGGCTGAGTGTGATAAGAAGTCATGCACACCAAATGCTGAACACACACGCAAGCAGCACAGGCCCCTGTAAATGTCAGCCCTGCAGAGCTCTAAAGAATCCCAGAAGAAAATGACCTCTACACTGTAGGCAGAGAAAGCAGGATATGCAAAGGCAGGGAAGTGGGGCACCGTGAAAAAGTAAAGGGGAATGGGTCAGCCTAGGGATCGGAGTGCAAAGAGGGATAGAGTTAAGTCTGGGAGGCCGATTGGGGGCCACCCCTCTACCCCCCTGAAATCAGATCTTCAGCCTAAGGCAAGGCCTTCCAGGGAGAAAGCATCAGAACCCTCCAGGCAAGATCAGGTGAGGGCCTGAATGAAGGCAAAGGTGGTCAGGCAGGGGTAGATTTGGAGGGGGAAGAAAGAACACAGATATGAATGACTGACTGACTGGGAAGGTGGAAAAAAAGGACAGAAGAGGGGAGAAAGAGAGGTAGGCAGGTGTCAGTAATAGATCTGGCTGGACAACTGGGCAGATGATGGTGCTTTTTGCTGCTAGGGAGTGCAGAGGAGGAAGTTTAGTGAAGCATGGATGAGAAAAGGAGAAACTTCGTTTGGAAAATGTTGAATTTGGCATGTTCATGGGGCAGTAGTAACAAGGCACTCTATAGATCAGAAGAGACACTGGGCTGGAGATATGCAATTTGGCTTTAATGACCAAGCTACTTTAACAACTGTTTACTTTCAGACCAAACCATGATTAAAGATTACCAATATACTGCGGAAGAGCAACACTGGCCGTAAACCTCCCTAAGGGATAGAGATTAGCAATTACTCTCACGCACACTTCTTACATACCTAGATGATCACATCTTAGCAGTTCATACCAGTCAGATCTTAGGTCACTCATACAAGTGTATGCCTACCTCAAAGCCTTTCTGAGAGTTAAGTAAGATTCTGCATGCAAAGTACTCAACCTGGTCGGGTGCGGTGGCTTACATCTGTAATCCTAGCACTTTGGGAGACCAAGATGGGAGGATCGCTTGAGGTCAGGAGTTCAAGACCAGCCTTGTCAACATGGTGAAACCCAGTCTCTACTAAAAATAAAAAATATTAGCTGGGTGTGGTGGCAGGCAACTGTAATCCTAGCTACTCAGGAGGCTGAGGCAGGAGAAGTGCTTGAACCCAGGAGGCGAAGTTGCAGTGAGCCGAGATCATGCCACTGCACTCCAGCCTGGGTGACAGAAAGACTCCATCTCAAAAAACAAAAGTGCTCAACCTAGTACCCACACAAGGTAGGGGTTAAATATACGTGCACATTTCTGATACCCCCGTTACCTCCTGCTGATACACCAAAAACTATTGTCAGGTTACCTCTGCTAAGCCCTTGCCTTCGATCATTGAAGCATTTACTCTATAATTTCTCCCCCACCCAATGTCTCTCCCATTTGCCAGGGATGAACACACCCCTGGCTCGTCTCCTTCCCACCCCCTATCTCTCCCTCCTCCACTCTGCGGCTCTCCATCAAGCCTCCATCTCTAGTCCATCACGGTTCTCCTGGAGAAAGATGATGGTGACTCATGCCTGAAGGGCAGCAGTGGCGAATGAGAAGCAGTAGACTGGGGTGTTTTGGGAGGCAGAGTTGATGGGATTTACTGATGGGATGGAGGATTCAAGGATGACTTTTAGGTCTCTGATTTCCACAACCAGGTGTAGAAGTGCTTCAGTGAGTGAAGGGAAAGAGGGAGGTAGCAGATAGGGGGAAGATGTAGGGAGGGGAGCCACTGGTTTGGTCGTGTTGGGTATCTGCAATTAGACCTTGGGGTTAATAATGATCACCGATAGGCCGGGTGTGGTGGCTCATGCCTGTAATCCTAGCACTTTGGAGGTTGAGGAGGACAGATCGCTTGAGGTCAGGAGTTCAAAACCAGCCTGGCCAACATGGTGAAACCCTGTCTCTACTAAAAAATAAAAAAAAATCAGCCGGGTGTGGTGGCGGGCGCCTGTAGTCCCAGCTACTCGGGAGGCTGAGGCAGAATCACTTAAACCCAGCAGGCGGAGGTTGCAGTGAGCCAAAATCATACCACTGCACTACAGCCTGGGCAACAGAGCGAGACTCCATCAAAAAACAAAAAACCCAGAAACAAAACAATAATGATCACTGATAGTATTTTCATGGGCAAGTTAAATTTGTGATTGAGTGGAATTCTTTGTGTTTTCTATATGTTCCCAAATTTCTTGGAAGCCAGAAACATGCCTCATCCATCACTTGTTAAGTGAATGGTACCCAGGGACTTGTATCTTGTAGACACCAAGTTCATGCCTACAGCACCAACTGCATTCAGTCACAAGTTGGCCAGTTGCTTTGCTTTCCTCATACACAACTCATCACCCCTATAATTTGTCCAAATTCTTCTCAGTTTTCAATGGGAAACCCTTATAACAGGCCTAAGGGAAAATAAAAGTTATTTTATAACATGGATTTTCCAGGACCAAACACAGCAGGGACTCCTAGAATTCTTTACATTGTTTTTATAGTGTTAAAAAAAAAAGAAAAAAAAGAAAGAAAACAAAACATACCCTATCAATGGCACTGCCCTTCTTCTGAGCATAAGAGCCCCAGAGCAAGAAAACAAGGCCATTCGAGTTCTGATTTAGCCAGGACACAACTGCATCAGTGAACTGCTCCCAGCCTCGCTCCTTATGAGAGTTGGCTTGATGGGCACGAACCGTGAGGACAGCGTTGAGAAGGAGAACACCTATACACATGAGAGAAACAGGTTAAATGTAGGCTCAGGCAAATCAGCCCAATACCCAGCAACAGGAGCTAAATCCATGATGAAACCAATGCTTGATGGGATCCAGTGTAGCAAGCTGTGCTTCCCTGCTGCAGCCGGCATAATGGCAGCAGCCACTACCATCAACAATGGAGTCGGGGCTGGGCGTGGTGGCTTATGCCTGTAATCCCAGCACTTTGGGAAGCCGAGTCGGGCGGATCACCTGAGGTCAGGAGTTCGAGACCAGCCTGGCCAACATGGTGAAACCCTGTCTCTACTAAAAATACATTAAAAAATTAGCCAGCTATGGTGGCTCATGCCTGTGGTCCCAGCTACTCAGGAGGCTGAGGCATGAGAATCGCCTGAACCTGGGAGGCAGAGGTTGCAGTAAGCTGAGATTGCACCACTGCACTCTAGCCTGGGCAACAGAGTGAGACTCGGTCTCAAAAAAAAAAAAAAAAAAAAAATCTAGCAGTCGCTGGCTTACCTTGCTTGGCCCACCCAGATAAATCTCCATGGCCAGGATGAACAAAATCCTCTATGTCTGTAGACAACTCTTTATAAATGTTCTCCAAACTGAAAGCAAGCCACAAGAAAAACAAAAAACAGAATCTTAAGCATAATTTTGAAAGCTCAGTAACGTCTAAGACATATGTGAAAAGGTTAGAAGTTACAGCCAGCCCTTGGAAGGGACACTGGCACATATGGCGCCGATTAATGAGATCAACACTGCCAGTCCTCCTTCTAACAGGTGACTCTGCCAAAGACCTTTACTTTAGTCTGTACTTGGATTTAACAGCACTCTGGAAAACCTAAGTAAATCAACCCAGCAGTTACAACCCAGACCCCCACTGTTGCTCAGGGACAGTTTTCTGTCCTTAGCATATTTATGTATATCATACACCAAATCCTCCAAAAGCAGTGGTTCTTTTTTTTTTTTTTCCAGTCTTGCTGTGTCACCCAGGCTAGAGTGCAGTAGCAGGATCTCGGCTCACTGCCACCTCCGCCTCCCGGGATCCAGCGATTCTCCTGCCTCAGCCTCCCAAAGTGCTGGGATTACAGGCGTGAGTCACCGCGCCCGGCCCAAAGCAGTGGTTCTTAACCAGGGGTGATTTTACGCCCCCAAGGGACTTTTGGCAATGTCTGCACATTTTTCATTATCACGAGCTGGGGGTTGCTCCTGGTTTCCAGTGGTAGAGGCCAGGGATGTGGCACAAGATCCTGCAATAGCACAGGACTCCTCTCCTCCTCCACAACAAAGAATGACTCAGCCCCAAATGTCAATGGTGCTGAGGCCGAGAAATCCTCCTCCAAGGCTAGTGAACAGTGCCCCAGATAGTCCCACTTGTAATAAGCTAAGTACACATCTGAAAGGAATCATGTCTGGACTGCAGTCACCTGTAAAGCAACTGTACCTGGGCGGAGGCGGAACAGGCCTTTGAACACTAAAGCAGAGCCCGTGAGCTTGATTAGGTCCATGATATGGATCCTGTCCCAGGATGACAACCTTCACCTGTGAACCACCAGGGGTCAGGAATTAAACAATACTGTAATGTAAGCAGCACAGACCCTGCCTCAAACAAACATAAACAAAACAAATAAAACACTTCTATGGCATAGATTGCTAATAGCAGAGTTGCTGGTCAAAGGCTAAGCGTATTTTAAACTTGTAAAGATATGTACCTAGCTGCTTTTTTAATTTTTTGAGACACGGTTTTGCTGTGTTGCTCAGGCTGATGTGCAGTGGTGCCATCACAGCTCATGGCAGCCTCGCCCTCCTGGGCTCAAGTGGTCCTCCCACCTGAGCCTCCAGAGTAGCTGGGCCCACAGGAGTGCACCACTATGCCCACCTAATTTTTTTTTTACTTTTTGTAGACACACGGCCTCCCTTATGTTGCTGAGGCTGGTCTCAAATTCCTGAGATCAAGGGATCCTCCCTCCTCGGCCTCCCAAAATGCTGGGATTACAGGCATGAGCCACTGTGCCTAGCCCCCAGTTACTTTTCGATGAATTAAAGCAATTTAGGGCCTGGCATGGTGGCTCACGCCTGTAATCCCAGCACTTTGGGAGGCCGAGGTAGGCAGATCACGAGGTCAAGATATCGAAACCATCTGGCCAACATGGTGAAACCCCATCTCTACTAAAAATACAAAAATTAGCTGGGTGTGGTGGCGCACACCTGTAGTCCCAGCTACTCGGGAGGCTGAGGCAGGAGAATCGCTTGAACCCAGGGGGTGGAGGTTGCAGTAAGCCGAGATTGCACCACTGCACTCCATCTCAAAAAAAAAAAAAAAAAAAAAAAAAAAAAGCAATTCAGATTTCCCACCAGCAGCATATGAGGGTGTCTGCTCCCCTATATCCTCTAACAGGTGGAGCCAGAAGAGAATGAGGTCAGATCAAAAGGGCCATGGGAGTAGGTGGCAAGAGACAATGAAATGAAATGAAGTTCCTGTCACGGGAGGTGTTGAAACATAGGCCGCCTCGTCCTTCCCATCCAGGGCCCACCCACCTAGTCTTCATTCTCAAGCTTCTGCCATTGCGTTCTTAGAATCTTCCTCCACAGCTGACATACTCTATCTTTCAGAATCCAGCTCCAGATGTTCCATGACCAGGAGGCTTTTGGGGACCTCTTGTCCCTCCCCTTGGTGTTCACACCATGCCAACATATTCTCTTGTGAAACAACTCTCCCAATGCTGGTCTGTCAAGAAGCCCTGCTGGCCCATCTGATCCTCATAGGTTTGAAACTGGTTTTTGAGCATTCCCTCAAAATATTCCTTTTAATATTCCCTGTTTATACTGATTACTGGTATTCAGAATAGGGCATTCAAACAAGAAGCAAATTAGTATTGATCTTAATAGGATTTAATTTAGCTTCAAAACCAAAGAGCTAGATTCTAAATTCTTACTCTAAAATTAAGCTTACGAGATTTTCTAAGTATTAGGTGTGGCTGCCTTATCAAGATGATTTATTCACCTATTTCACTTCTATGTCATTTCACAGATATTCATTAAATCACAAGATTCTTGCCCCAGTTTACAAAACGGGGGAGGAAAACGGGTAAGAAACCTAAAAGTCCAGTGTCAGCAGGTGCTAAATGCATCGTAGCAGCTCAGAGGAAAACTGGATCACAGAGGTGGCAGGCAACGGACTTCAATTCAAGGAGGTGCCACAGAGGCATCTACTTGATTTTTAAGAGACAGAAGTGGGGAGGGGTTTGCCACACTGTCCAACTCTGGAGTGGGAGAGTGGGAGGTGGAGGTAAGGCTGAGAGGTAGGACGTGGCCCTATTTAAAGAGGGTTGCTCTGCTTTCATAGTTCAACAGTGAGAAGCCACGGTTTTTTTTTTGTTTTGAGACAGGGTCTGGCTCTGTCGCCCACGCTGGAGTGAAGTGGTGTGATCTCAGCTCACTGCAACCTCCGCCTCCTGGGCTCATGCGATTCTCCCACCTCAGCCTCCCAAGTAGCTGGAATTACAGGCGTGCGCCACCATGCCCGGCTAATTTTTGTATTTTAGGAGAGACCAGGTTTCATTGGTCTTGAACTCCTGACCTCAAATGATCCTCCCACTTTGGCCTCCGAAAGTGCTGGGATTACAGGCATGAGCCACCGTGCCCAGCCCCACGAACTTCTGAACACAAGATGGATGAGAGCCGCCAACCAGCAACTGTTATATAAGACAAACTAAAGCAAAGGGATCTGATAACAGAACCACAAAACTGTTCAGGCCAGAAGTCAAGAGCTTGAAAGTGCTAACTATAAGGCAGTGTGGTCAGGTCAAGGTGGGGTTGACTATAACAAGCTGCAAAAGATTTAACTGCTTTGTGTGTCAGTTTGAACTTCACCACCACCATAACATCTGACACCGCGGGAGGTTAGTTTCAGGATTTAAAAAAAATACAAGAAATAAGAGCACAGGATGTACATAGTTTTCCTTTTTGCCACATAAATACCACGTGGTAAACATTAAAAAGAGTAAATACAGGCTGAAATACAGTCAGCCAAACCTCGGGATTTCAGTGTTTTATTTACTACTGAATGATGGACTGTGGCTTAACTCCAGTGTCCCTAATTTAAAAATACTATTTGACTCCTTCTCCCCAATAAAAATTATCAACAAGTTGTACTTACATCTTTTATGTCACACATCTGGGTCCAGGTGAAGACTTGGTGTGGGGGTGGATAAACAGTGTAATGCTTTCTTTCTTCTGCAACAAATCCCATTAGCTGATTTAAAGATAAACTAGACTTAAAATCAGATTCTCATTGGAAACCATAAGAATTCAATAAGAAAGCTTCTAGTGCAAGTTATTTGGAACATCATTAGTTCTTTGTCATGTTATGTCCAAATTCTTTTAAAAAACAACAAACAAAAACAGTGCCTGCCCCCCCACCTAAGTGGTTCAATCAGGTCAATTCCTTGCCTCTTTCTCTGGGCTGGGTCCTGACAGTGCCACTCCTCTCGGCTTTTTAAAGCTCAAGCCAGGTTTCATTCAGGATGGTTGGTGATTTTACTACGCCAGCCTTTCCTGGACAATAGACTATGTGACTTAAATGAATCCATGATATCATCTCGCGGGTCGTTAACAACTTTAACCAATATAAAGCTGCAGAGTGAAACATCATGGCTTTCTTTTACCCCCTTTGTGAGTAAAGGAGGTTGAAGGGGGTACAACCTAAGCCTACGGAAACATGAACTTGGCCGGCTACACTAACAAGACAAAAGGGCCGGCAGCCTCCACATTTACCCTTATGGAAGGTGCATTTCCATATTTACCTTGATAAAATACGGTTTCCCGAACTCCCCGCTGAGGTGCTTCTTCCAGCTCTCTCCAAAGCCCACGGGCACGTTGCGGGCCGCGAGTCTGAGCAGGGCCGCGGCCTTGTTCCTCTGGATCCGGTCCAACTGCTCGGCACTCAGCGGCGAGGAGGGCGGCGTCCCAGGCTCCTCCTGCCCAGCCGGGGCCTTCTTGGCTGGGATGGCCTGCAAGTGGTCCCCGCAGAGGCGGCTCAAGAGCTGCAGCGGCCCCTTCCCAGGCGTCCGCAGCTTCCGGCCCAACCCCCACGGCCCAAGGCAGAAGACGCCCATTTGTGGAACAGGTCCCAGCAAAAGCGGACAGTAAGAGCCCAGGGCTGGGCCCGGTCCGGGAATTGGGAATTAGGTTCTAAACTGGAGCGGGGAGACGGGCTGGGAGGCGCCCTATGGCTTCCCGAGGAGCGTCGCGGTGACTGGGAACCCTGCACAGAGGTGCCCCGCCCCCGCCAGACCCGCCCCACCGCGTCCCCACGTGGTCTTTTCGCGGCAAAAAACCTCCCTCTGGGTCCCGCCCCCTCTCCCCTCTGATTGGACAGCGCACCGAGCCAGGAGGGCCTGCGGCGCGCGGATTGGCGCCATGGGCCCCGAGACGCGTTCCCATTGGCTGGCCCTTTAGCATGGCGGCCCATGGGGGACAGCGGCGGCTATTTTGAACACGTGGAGGCTATTTGGAAAGCGGAGCCCGGGTTTACCGAGTCAGAGGCGCGATCCTGCACGCCCTCCGTCAGGCGGGGCCCACCGCCTTCCTCCCCCTTCACCCCCTAGCCCCGGCCCAAGCCGCGCCTCACCGCCGCATCTCCGCTTTCCTCAGGCACCCCAGCCACGCCGGTCCCCTGGACGGCCGGCTCGGGGCTGGGGGCGTGTCGCTTCCTGGCGGGGCTGGGGGAGAAAAAGGAGTAGAGCGTCTTCTGGCCGATCATCCTGGAGCTGAGGAGGCAGCGAACGCGCGCCACCCGGGAACCGGCGAGGCTAGCCCTGGCTGTGGCTGTGGCGGTCAGCAATTGGCGCCAAGCGGCCCGCGCATGCTCCGAGCGGGGGGCTTTGCTGGGGGCGGGGGGCGGTGGAAGGCCCAGTGCGCATGTGCGGGAGGGGCTGGAGTGCAACGCCCCTGGGAGGAGGTGGGGCGTGCAACGGTGCCCGGGGGCCTATTCTTTCATTCGCTTTGTGCCTTCAGCCCACCTCTGCTCTTTGGACAGGCTCTTAAGGCTCAGCTGCAAGAAGAGAAGACTGGTCAGGCGCGGTGGCCCACGCCTGTAATCCTAGCGCTTTGGGAGGCCCAGGCTGGAGGATCGCTTGAGGCCAGAGGGTCTGAGCTGTAGTGAGCTTTGATCGCGCCAATGCACTCCAGGCCTGGGCGACAGAGCGAGACCCTGTCTCTCGGTGGGGTCGGGGGGAGGGGGCTGGGAAGAAAAGTTCCTGCCCCTTAGGGGTGTTGTGGGAGTGCAATGAACAATATAATAATATTGTCCGGGCTTGATGGCTCACGTCTGTAATCCCCGCACTGTAATCCGAGGCATCTCAAAAACAAACAAACAAACAAATACTATTATATTTTGTGTGTGTATTTTGTTTTTGAGACAGAGTCTTGCTCTGTCGCCCAGGCTGGAATGCAGTGGTGTGATCTCAGCCCACTGCAACCTCCGCCTCCCGGATTCAAGCGATTCTCGTGCCTCAGCTAGGATTATAGGCGCGCGCCACCACGCCTGGCTAATTTTTCTATTTTTAGTAGAAATGGGGTTTCACCATGTTTGCCCAAGTGTGTTTTGTATTTTTTTAGTAGAGATGGGGGATCTCACCATGTTGGCCAGTCTGGTCTCGAACTCCTGACCTCAGGCGATCTGCCCACCTTGGCCTCCCAAAGTGCTGGGATTACAGGCATGAGCCACCACACCCAGCCAATATTATTTGTTGAACTGTTATATACATTTTCTCACGCAATTTTCATGGCCTATTTTATGACGATAAACTAAGGCTTAGTGCAGTCAAACATTTTGCCTAATGTATCAGGCTTGTGGGAGACTTTCGGGTCATAGAGGTTAAACACCAACGATTTGTCTTCCAAATGACACCACTGTACCGAACCTCCTCCCACCACTACTAATACACTTAGGATTCTCTTTCCCTCCCTCACATCCAAACCATCCATATCTGCTTTTGGTTCTTTCTCCAAAGCAAACCTCAAATTCAACTGCTGCTCTTGCATCTCCTAGCTACAGAAGACCAGCTGGGAAGCTGGTGTTCTCTTTTCTAGAGAGAGATTTTTACATCATGACAATACCTGGGGCCTGGCCCAGCTCGGTGGCTCACGCCTGTAATCCCAACACTTTGGGAGGCCAAGGAGGGGCGTATCGCTTGAGCACAGGAGTTCGAGACCAGCCTGGCAAACATGGTGAAACCCCGTCTCTACTAAAAATACAAAAATTAGCCAGGCGTGGTGGCATGCATTTGCAATCCCAGCTACTCAGGAGGCTGAGGCAGGAGAATCACTTGAACCCGGGAGGCGGAGGTTGCAGTGAGCTGAGATTGTGCCACTGCACTCCAGCCTGGGTGACAGAGCAAGACCCTGTCTACAAACAAAAAAAAGAAAAAGAAAAAAAAGACAATCCTTAGGTTAAAACCCTTCTTTGGTTTTCAAAAAGGCTTAGAATAAACCCCAGCTTCCTACCCAGGTCTCAGTGCTGCCTCCTCTCTGATGGAAGCCCCCACTACTGAGTCCAGCTCCCAGCACAATTGCTGGACACACCCAGCTTGTCCCCCTGTGGCCTGCACACCCTTGCATTCACCGTCCCCTTGCCTGGAAAGCCTCAGGTCTCAGCTCAGGATCTTTCCCT
Organism: Homo sapiens; assembly: GCF_000001405.40. NCBI lineage: Eukaryota > Metazoa > Chordata > Mammalia > Primates > Hominidae > Homo > Homo sapiens. The sequence continues at coordinate 109,095,768 of NC_000012.12, read as the reverse complement.
GAAAAGGACTTCTCCTCCTGCCCCACTTTCTAGCCCATTGCTCTATAACTGCTATACTATACAAAAGCATCTTATTTATTTTTTCTTTTTACACAATTTCTTTAGAGACAGCATATTATTTATTCTTTCCTTGTGTGTTTCTGTCTCCATCCCCGAAATGTAACCTGAGTGAAGAAAGGAACTTGCTGCTTCTTGTTGCTGGTGTGTCCCAGTGCCTAGGACAAGAAGCTGAAGTCTAAGGGAGAGAGGCTCAAAGCTGAAAATCATTTGCCCTTAGAGCCACTATGACCCAGCACTCCCACACCTAGGCATTATTTACCCAAGGGAAATGAAAAACTATATTCACAAAGCTTGTATGTGAATGTTTATAGTGATTTTACTCATAGTAACCTAAAATCAGAGAAACAACCCTATGTGGGGCCTACTCCTGTGGGGCATCCCTTCTATACCAGTAATAAAAAGGAACAAATAAGTAATACAAATGTGCATATACGACTGGGCACAGCGGCTCATGACTGCAATTCCAGCACTTTGGGAGGCCAAGGCAGGCGGATTTCTTCAGCTCACCAGCTGAAGACTATGGAGACCAGCCTGGGCAACATGGCAAAAACCCATCTCTACAAAAAATACAAAAATTAGCCGGGTGTAGTGGTGCATGCCTGTAGTCCCAGCTACTTGGGAGGCTGAGGTGGGAGTGGAGCCTGGGAAGTGGAGGTTGCAGTGAGCCGAGATCATGCAACTGCACTCCAGCTTAGGCAGTAGAGCCAGACCTTGTCTCACAAAAAAAAGCGGGGAGGTGGGGGGGCGCATAAATGAATCTTAAAAGCAATATGCTTAAGTGAAAGAAGTCCCACAAAGGCATTTCTCATAGAGGCTGAGAGGTCCGAGGTTGAGGGGCTGCATCTGGTGAAAACCCTCTTGCTGGTGGGGACTCTGTTGAGTCCTGAAGCCGTGTAGGGCATCACATCGCGAGGGGCCTGAGTGTGCTAGCTCAGGTCTCTCTTCTTCCTTTTATAAAGCCACCAGTCCCACTCCCACGGTAACCCATTAACCCATTAACCCCTGAGCCCATTAATCTATTAATTCATTTATGAGGACATTATGACAGAGCTCTCATGTCCCAATCACCTCTTCAAGGCCCCACCTCTCAATACTGCCACACTGAGGATTAAATTTCAACGCGGATTTTGGAGGAACAGATATTCAAACCACGGCAATTCCCTGTATATGAAATTCTGGAAAAGGCAAAACTATAGGGAGAGAAGACAGATCAGTGGTTGCTGATGCTGGGTGATGGGCGAAGTTGATTAAGAGGCTGGAGCAGTTTTATGGAGGGACGGAACTGTCTTAGATCTTGATTGTGGTGGTGATCATACAATATTGTACATTTGTTGAAATCTGTCAAAACAAAGCCTCTGATCTCATGGAGCTTTCGTTCCATTGAGGGGAGACAGAGTAAATAAAAATTAGGAGCCGGTCGTGGTGGCTCACGCCTGTAATCCCAACAATTTGGGAGGCCCAGGTGGGAGGATCACTTGAGCCCAGGAGCTTGAGACCAGCCTGGGCAACATAGCAAGGCCCTATCTCTACTAAAAATAATAAAAAAATTATTTAGGGTGGGGTGGGATGTGCCTGTAGTCCCAGCTACTCCAGAGGCTGAGACGGGAGGATCGCTCTAACCCAGGAGTTCAAGGCTGCAGTGAGCTATGATCATGCCATTGCATTCCAGCTTGGGCAACAGAGTGAGATCCTGTCTCAAAAAAACAAAACAAACAAGAACAACATCAAAAAACAAGAAAACAAAGAAAAACGAGCAATAATGGAACCAACATTTATTTAGAGGACAGAGCATTTCTCATGCATCCTGTCATCTCCTCAGGCGCTCTCATGACATAGGTGCTGTAGTCCGCACTTCACAGATGAGGCAACTTAACCCCAGAGAGGTTAAGTGACCTGTGGGAGGCCACACAGCCAGGGCGGAGGAGACAGAAACAGAATCCACGATATCCGACTGCAGAACTCCTGCTCCCACTCGTGACAATATACTGGTGGCCCAACGCCCTTTCCGGACACCAAAGTAACCCTCACTGAGAAGTGACGCCAAGCCACAGTTCTCACCCCAGCCGTGATTCTCGACAGTGGCCCAACAGGTGATCAACGGGAAAGCGGCAGTGCTTGCCACACACGGGAGGCCAGCAGGTGGCACCAGGGGGCCGCCCGGCTGCTCTCTTTGCGCCCTAGCCTGCCGTAGTTCCCAGCGTGCTCCGGAAGTGACGCGACCGATTCGCTGGGGCGCGTCTTTCCCACCACGAGGCCACCAGGGTGACTGCGGGATTCCGATCTGCGCCGGAGCTGCGATGCTAGAGCACTCTTGCCACCCCCACCCCACGGACGTGTTGCAGTGATATCAGAATTTTGCGTGCGGTTTACCCGTGTTTAACCTCTTTGCGTCTCGCTTCTGAATCGTATCCACTTGAGCATCACTAGACTGATCTATTTTAACACTGGTGGGGGGCAGCGAGGTCAGTTATGGGTCCTTCCTCCTTAAAGGGGTGGACAGTTGACTTTGGGCAAACCTCTTCGCCTCTGTGGGCAACAGTTTCCCCTTCTGCAAAATGAGGGTTTGGATTGTAGTTTCTAAGTTTAGCTGTGGCGTGCGAATTCCCAGGAGGTAGTTCTTTAAAAATTCAGGTGCTCAGGCGTGGAGTGCAGACCTCTGGGTTTTTGCAAGCTAGCCAGCTGATTCTGATGCACAGGTGGACGTGGGAGACCCTGGATCAGATTGTCCCTAGGGTCCCTTCCGGCTTTAACATCTTCTGTTTCCTTTCTAGGACATGGTTTTAAACTTTAAAATGAAAATGTGAAACTAGGAATGTTGCTGTGAGACCCCTTGGACAAACAGATTTTTGCACTGGGGATAGAACTTGAGCAATTTCTGTCTTGGCCTCGCCACTGACGTCCCTTCTTTCCTGTGGGGACAGGATGGACAGATTCCTGGTGAAAGGGGCTCAAGGGGGCCTTTTGAGGAAGCAGGAGGAGCAAGAGCCAACTGGAGAAGAGCCAGCTGTGTTGGGAGGAGACAAAGAAAGCACAAGGAAGAGGCCCAGGAGAGAGGCCCCAGGGAATGGAGGCCACTCAGCAGGCCCTAGCTGGCGGCACATTCGGGCTGAGGGCCTGGACTGCAGTTACACAGTCCTGTTTGGCAAAGCTGAGGCAGATGAGATTTTCCAAGAGTTGGAGAAAGAAGTAGAATATTTTACAGGTAAGCAGAGGGGTGTGTGTGTGTGTGTGTGTGCATTGAGGGCTTGTTTGGTGCAATTAATGATCGTATGTTTGGAGAAATCTGAACTCAGGATCCATTATTTACTGATGGGTTCACTAATGGATTCATCCAATATTCTCTGAGCACCTCTGGGCTAAGCCCCTTAGGTGCTTGGGACATAAACTTGAAAGAAACTGGATTGCCTGTCTACTAGGAGCTGACAGATGACTCGAGTGAATCTCTCCTTGGCTACTGATGAGTATCTTCTGGGAAAGTTTACAAAACAAAGTAAAAAAACGTGCTGGGTTCTACTGCAGAGCACTTCAATCAGAATCGCTCCGAGTGCAGGCTGACCACTTGTTTGTTTAAAAAGCTTCCAGGTGATTCTCATGGGCAGTCAGGGTTTGAGAATCACTGGTCTCATAGGAGAGATGGCAAATAACCAGGTAATTTCTCCACACCAGTGGTTCTCAGCATCACCTGGTGGACTTGCTGTTGGCAGGACTTGGATTGCTGGACCCTACCCCTGTGGTTTAGTTTAGTTTCTAAGGAGAGTCCAGGTGCTGCTGGTCTGGGGAGCACATGTTGAGAACCACACCTCTATCCTGTAATGAGGACACAAGGATCTGGCAGAGAGGCATAGAAAAGCCCACAGGAAGCTAGGCGTGGTGGCTCGCGCCTGTAATCCCAGCACTTTGGGAGCCCGAGACGGGCGAATCACTTGAGGTCAGGAGTTCGAGACCAGCTTGGCCAATATGGTGAAACCCTATCTCTACTAAAATACAACAACAACAACAAAAAATGAGCTGTGCGTAGTGGTGCATGCCTGTAGTCCCAGCTACTTGAGAGGCTGAGGCAGGACAATCACTTGAAACCGGGAGGCAGAGGTTGCAGTGAGCCGAGATCGCACCACTGCACTCCAGCCTGGGCAACAGAGTGAGACTGTGTCTCAAAACAAAACAAAACAAAAAACGAAAGCCCACAGGCCAGGCACGGTGGTACACACCTGTAATCCCAGCTACTCTGGAGGCTGAGGCAGGAGGATCACTTGAGGCCAGGAGTTCAAGTCCAGCCTGGGCAACATAGTGAGACCCCCTCGTCACTTTATTCTTTTATGCTTTGAGACAGGGTCTCGCTCTGTCACCTAGGCTGGAGGGCAGGGGCACGATCTTGGCTCACTGCAGCCTCGTCCGCCTGGGCTCAAGTGATTCTCCCACCTCAGCATCCTAAGTAACTGGGACCACAGATGTACACCACCAAGCCTGGATAATTTTTAAATTATCTGTAGGTCTCACTGTGTTACCCAGGCTGTTAATTGAACTCCTGGCCTTGAGTGATCCTCGCCTTGGCCTCCCAAAGTGCTGGGATTGCAAGCATGAGCCAGCGCGCCTGGCTCACCATCTCTTTAAAAAAAGAAATGCCCACAAGAGACCCCAGCAGTGTGAGCCCCATCTTTCATGGGGTCACATGCCCTTAGTCCCTACAGTTGACAAGCTATCCTAGCCTGTAAACTAACTTTATCGTGTTCCAATTTCAGCCTCTTTATTCTGCCCTTACTGTAGTTAAGGCAGTTAAGTTACAGTGTTCACTAAAAAAATGGCCCAGGACCATGTTTCTCTCCTTGTAGAACAAGAGTCACTGTTCTTACATGAACATTTGGGGCAGTTGGCTTGGTGCAGTGGTGCACACCTATAATCCCAGACTTTGGGAGACTGAGGTGGGCGGACCACTTGAGCCCAGGAGTTCAAGACCAGTCTAGGCAACATGATAAAACCCTGTGTCTTACAAAAAAATACAAAAAAAGTTAGCCGGGCATGGTGGCATGCCCCTGTGGTCCCAGCTACTCAGGAGGCTGAGGCAGGAGGGCTGCTGGAGCCCTGGAGGTGGAGGTTGCAGTGAGCTTACAAAAAAGTTAGCCAGGCATGGTGGCACGCCCCTGTGGTCCCAGCTATTCAGGAGGCTGATGCGGGAGGATTGCTGGAGCACGGGAGGTGGAGGTTGAAGTGCGCTGAGATTGTGCTACTGTACTCCAGCCTGGGTGACACAGGGAGACCCTGTCTCAAAGAAAACAAAACAAAAAGAAAATTTGGGGCAAGCCAAAATGATGATTGAAGAGGGGTTTAAATTGCATGGAATGACGGGGAAATGTTATTCCTTACTTCCCTTTCAATCTTGAATACCCAGGGAGCATGTATGTGGGGCACTGGATTTCTGGTGATGGCAGTGCGGGTTGGGGGGGGCATCTGGATTTCTAGATGGGGGTCAGGTAGAAAGGAACTGCCATGTTTCCTCTGCACAGGAGCACTGGCCAGAGTCCAGGTATTCGGGAAGTGGCACAGTGTGCCCAGGAAGCAGGCAACGTATGGCGACGCTGGGCTGACCTACACATTTTCAGGCCTCACGCTGTCTCCAAAGCCCTGGATCCCAGTTCTAGAGCGCATCCGGGATCACGTCTCTGGGGTGACTGGACAGACCTTCAACTTTGTGCTCATCAACAGGTGACACCCTGTTTAGTGGACTCAATGTTACAAGTCTTCTGTCTCCTCCAAAAGGAAGTGTTTAGGGTTCCACCCTATTTGGTTCATTGGTACAAATCATTTCTTAGTACACTGGGGCTCTAAGAGTGGAATAGCGCCAGCACTCGGTCTTCCTGGATCCTGGAGCTCATCCCGGAGTAGGAAGTGAGAGGTGATTAACTCCTGAACAAACAGCTGAATGAGATAATTTCTTCTTCTCTTTTTCTTTCTTTTTTTTTTTTGAGACAGGGTTTTTCTATGTTGCCCAGGCTTGGTCTCAAACTGCTAGGCTCAAGCGATCCTCCCACCTCAGCCTCCCAAAGTGCTGGGATTACAGGCGTGAACGACTATGCCTGACCCTAGACGATTTCAGACAGTGATAACCATCTTGCAAAAAATTAAACAGGCCGATTTGACTGAGAATGGCTGAGAGGTTTGCGATTAGGGCAAGGTTTCTCAACGGCAGCACTGCAGACATTTTGGGCCCAGTCATTCGTTGTTGTTGGGGCTGACCTGTGCCTTGCAGGATGTTGAGCAGATCCCTGGCCTCCATCCACTAGATTGCAAGTAGTGTCCCCCACCCCCCAATACCTGTCCCCTGGGGCAGAATCACCCTGGTGGAGAACCCTGGGTGGGTTTAAGGGAAGGTCACTTCAGATGGGGTGGTTAGAGGAGGGCTGAGGCAGTGCGTTTGAGCTGATAACTAAATGGAGAGTGCCAGCCACAGACATCTGGAGGGAGAGCAGAGGGACTCTGGAGTGTCTGTGAAGCAAAAATGCTGCAGGATGGCCGGAAAGCAGTGAATGAGGGAAAGAAGGGGATGGCATGAGCTCAGCAGTGGGCAGGGGCCGGGCTATGCAGAGTATGGCCTTTGAGTGCAGGGCAAAATCATGTGATAAAGGTTTACATAGACTGGCCAGGGGAACTACAGTAAGACGTGATTTTGGCTTTGGGTGTCTTCAGTTTTAAAGCACATGAACTGGCCGGACGTGGTGACTCATGCCTGTAATCCCAACACTTTGGGAGGCCAAGGAGAGTGAATTGCTTGAGCCCGAGTTTGAGACCAGCCTGGGTAACATGGTGAAACTGTTTCTGCAAAAGAAAAGAAATTAGCTAGGTGGGGTGGTGCATACCTATAGTCCCAGCTACTTGGGAGGCTGAAGTGGGAGAATCACTTGAGCCCAGGAGGCCGAGGCTGCAGTGAGCTATGATTGTGCCACTGCACTTCAGCCTGGGTGACAGAGCGAGACCCTCTCAAAAATAATAATAAATAAGTCACATGAACAAATACGTCAACAGACCTCTTCAGCGTTGGCTTATCTTAGAGCCCACTGTGGACCTCAAGCCCTCGCAGAAACAACGGCAGGTACAGCCATGCAGAGTGCTGTTTCACACTGTGAGGAAAACGAGGGCTGGCGGTGCTGGTGAGTTTCAGGAGAGGGTTGTTTTTATGCACTGTGTTTGTTTTCTCATTGCAGGTATAAAGATGGCTGTGACCACATCGGGGAGCACCGAGATGATGAAAGAGAACTGGCCCCTGGGAGCCCCATTGCCTCTGTCTCCTTCGGTGCCTGCAGAGACTTTGTCTTCCGGCATAAGGATTCCCGTGGGAAAAGCCCCTCCAGGAGGGTGGCGGTGGTCAGGCTGCCGCTGGCCCACGGGAGCTTACTAATGATGAACCACCCGACCAACACGCACTGGTACCACAGTCTTCCCGTGAGAAAGAAGGTTCTGGCTCCACGGGTGAATCTGACTTTTCGTAAAATTTTGCTTACTAAAAAATAAAAACATTTTTAACAGTTTTTCTCTTTTCTCTTTCCCTCTCGACTCTAAGAGGGAGCTGGCATTTCCCTTACCAACAGGGAACACAGAAAGGTTTAAAGCGTAGGGCTTGTTATGTAACAATGCAGAATTCAGAAAGATGATGTTTGTAACAGATCAGTGTATTACAAAAGAACACCAGGTGATTTTTTTCTAACAAAATGATTATTTTATTGCTATAATACACAGCAGATACAAAAGTACCTTTAGCAAATACATAAATCAGCAGTTATTATGGCAAAACTACTAGTTTAACTTAGGTTTTTCCCAAAAGAAGCTACTTACTTTGAAAATAAAACTAGAAATCAGATTATTGGGCTGCTACTTAATGCATAATAATTTACAAAATGAAGAAGTCAGGTTAAAAGGCTTTGCACAGCTATTGTTCACATTTACAGCCTTGGCTCAAACCCTGGTCTCTGACCAAAGAAAGATCTGCTTATAACCATATATTCCAAGGCTCAGCCCCTTTTCTCTATCTTTCTTTGATGGTAGATTTCAGAGTAAGCAGTGGCAGAACAGCAATTACTTAAAGCTACAGCTTTGCAGTACACTTTAAGGTCACATGATTGGGCATTTGTTCCACCAGACTTGGGTAAAACAAGTGTGTTCATTTCAACATCAAAGTCAAGGTCTGCATCGGGTGAGTGCAGGACGGACCGTACAGTTCAAGCTGCCCCTTGCACCCTGACGCCCAGAGCCTGGAGAGCCTGCACAGAATATTCTGTTGAGAGTGAGTTACTGAGTCCTCAGGGTGCAGCCTGGGCCCAGCAGAAGAGTGATCACCTGGGCTTCCTGCACTGTGAGCTGCTGCCAAGGCACTGTTTGGTGTGTCTGCCAGCTCACCCCCAGCAGAGGAAGTGCGGTCTTAGCCTTACCTCAGATGACCTTTTGGAAAGGTCTGATTCCAAATCTTACCTCTGATGAGTCGGTTTGAATTTGGTATCCATTTTTCTAAATTAAAAATATAGCTTAAAACATAGGTACTACTGTGTCATCAAAATTCCTTTGGCCCTGGGCTGCATTCAGAGACTTACCTGAAAAGGGAAGAAAGTGCTCAATATATACTTTTTGTATTAGGCTATTGGAAATGAATAAATTCAGAATATGGACCTAGAGCAACATGACAATACTAGATGCCAGCTGTAGTTATATGTTTTTTAAAAAGTCAAAAGCTGCTTTCTCCTTTTCGTGAAAAGGGCTGAACTTTGGTGGTCATCAAATCTAACCCTTCACTTCACAAATGAGGAAACTGAGGTTCAGAGAGACTGCAGCCCCATAGTCAGCCCTTCCTTCCTAAGCCAGGTGTCAACTCAGGGCAGGGATTATTTTTTTATACAGCCCCAAGCTCCCACCTGTAAACCTTAAGAGCTCTGCATGGGCAATAAATAAACAGATGAAAGTAACCGTCCACAGTGGATCCTTGTGTAAGAAAAAGTTTTCCACAGAGCAGAGGAATCAGGTGTTGCAAAGATCCAGCTCAGTTCTGGCTATTCACAGAGTTTTATAATACAGTGTAATTACATCTCAGTCCAATATACAAAAGATAAAAGCAACAAGTAAGCTCTTCACTTATAACTGACAAAGTAGTGAAAGAGTTTCCCCAGGGGGCAGATTTGGCAGATGAGCCTTTACTCCATAGAAAGAATTGAAAGATTAGAAAAGGCATAGAAAAAGGAAGGTGTTCTTTAGGCATCATTTACCTGTTCTCTTGCTATCCTTTGAGTAGCCTGGAAGGAATATTTCACAATGGACGTGCTACAAAAGCAATCGAAAGTGAAAGGCACTTTTTCTTCTAAATTGTTGCCTTTAATAATTTCATTAATTCTTGTCAACAATTTTTATGGGCCTGCTTATTAAAAATAAAAGATCTAAGTGGAAACGTTGATTAGACAAAGGTACCTCCCCTCTGAGAACACCTAACATTACAATATGAAAACGGTGGCTTCAAGAATCTGAGTTCTTTTAATTACCTGTATCAGATGAGTAAAAAGACACTCCGGACATAATGAATGCTTTCTTAACACAACAGAACCACCTACACACATGAACAGGACTGTTCAGGGAGCCTGGTTTGGTGTGAACTGGGGCTGGCTCCCAGGTGGAGCCTGCTCTTAGAACACACCAGAAGGCTGGAAGGCTCTAGTGGGGCCGCTTGCACACGCAACAGTACAGTTTTACTTTTTTCCTGGACAGTGCAGACAGTGCCATCAGCTCTAGCCTTGCAGGAGGGCACAGTCATTCTTCAGACTTGCACTCCTGGCTCTGGTGCTGCATCCTGGAAAGGACGCGCTCGTAGAACAGCAGGTAGGCGCTGGAGGACAGGACCTCCTGCAGGCTGGCCTTGCGGACAGTGTCATCGGAGACCCACAGCCACTGATTGCTAGTTGAGAGAGGGTTCCTGGCAGAAGGTGGGGACCGTCGGTAAGTGACAAAGTGTCCAGAGTGCATGTCTCCATGGTGGACGACAACTGCCATCAGCCGGAAGAGGTATGTGGAGGAGCTGAATGATACGAACACATGTCAGGGGTTTACAATTTTAACAAAAAGACTTTATAGGCAAAAACAAAAGAATGCTAATGTTAAATAGGGGATGAATACAATGGTAAGTCCATACCACCAAATGCTACACAACTATTAAAATACAGATCTGTATTTACTGGCATGGCAAGATGTACATTCTATGAGTATATGTATATTGTGTATATGTGGATGTTTGTATCAATGAGTGTATGTGTTTATGTACACTATATGTATGTGTGATGTACAACTTTATAGAGTGCATGACCCTAAGTGTTTAATTGGCTATCTCTAGATGGTATCCCAAGAAATTTTAAATTTTCTTTATATTTTATACATACACACATATATACACACATACATATGCATATGTAAATTTTATGTACTTTAAAAATTTTTAATTTAAAAGTTATTTCCATTTTGGACAAAAATAAATAGGAATGTGTAATCGTGAAACTTCACCTTAAAATGAAAAATAAACATCTATATTTTCCTTAATTCATTTCTGTGAAAAGCTAATTTTAGAAGCTAAGAGCAGTGGTAGCTCTAAGATGGGGCTTGTAAAGGGTGGCTCACCTGTAGTCGGGAACAACTGGGAGAGGGAAGGGCATCGGCGCTGACAGCGTTGGCAATAAAGATGGGGAGCAGGCGCCATTCATAAAAATCTGTGTTTTGGGGGCCCCTGGCTGATTCAGAACTGCAAGAGAAAAAGGCCCGAGTCAATGAAAATTAGCAGTGGCTCTGTAAACAAAACCTGGTTTTGATTACCTTGAAAGTTAACTCCCCATAATGCTACAAAGAAAAAAATCTATTTCATTTGGTATTATATAGATTCATAAAATAATCTGCCCTTTATCCTTAATCTCAAATAGGGATAATCTGTCTTAATCCCAAATAGGAAAAGTGTATCTAGCTCCAGCTTTACGGCTAGCCTGGGATCTTTGAGCTTCCTAGCCCTGTTTGCTAATGCCATGTATCAAAGTTAATCAGTAGCTAATTTACTGGCTTTTGACCTAAACCAAGGTTTCTCAACAGCAGCACCATGATGGTTTTGGCTGGATCATTCTTTGTTGCGGGGGCTGTCCTGTGCATTAGAGGATGTTGAACAGCATCCCTGGCCTCTACCCACTAGACACCAGTAGCACCCCTCCCCCAGTAGTGATAACCAAAAATGTTACCAGACACTGCCCAATGTCCCTTGGGAGGCAAAACTCCTCCAAGTTGAGAACCACTGATCTAAGCATTCTATTTGCTTTAATTCTGTCAGCTTCTAAGGAATACCAACGTGTAATAGCATTCATACATGTTTATGGGTAGACAACATAATTAAGGCCATATTTACATGTCTTTTCCTTTCAAGTGTCATTTTTGGGGGCTGTTATGTACCAAGTAGTTTCCTGATGACATTTTTTGTGTGTGTTTTAGACAGGATCTTGCTCTGTTGCCCAGGCTGGAGCACAGTGGTGTGATCACAGCTCACTGCAGCCTCAAACATCTGGGTTCAGGCAATCCTCCCACCTCAATCTCCCAAAGTGCTGGGATTGCAGGTGTGAGCCACCACGAGTGGCCCTACTGCTGGCATCTTTAACCACAGCCAGCATGCTCTCAACATTAGTAAACCTGCACCCCAGCCCAGGAGATGGGGAAGCTGGGGTGCAGAGGTCTTTGATTTAAAACCAGGGCCAAGGACTGAACCAGAGTCTGTCCCCTACCTCATCTCTTTTCGATGTTAATCTAGTGACTTGATGAGAAAGAGGAAAACACAATCTCCCTGACATGATGAGGTGTCGGGCCATGCAACTGTGGTCATAAAAAGAACAAAAGGAGTAAGGGACCCTAAATAGGAAAGTATGGGGTGTGAGACAATCCTGACCTAACTGGGGGCAGCAGACAGGTGGTGAGTTCAGGCTGTGAGCCCTTCAAGTGAGTGGGTTTTCCTCATGTCTAACTCTAAAGAACTCAGTGTGTCACATGAGACACCTTTAGAAAATGGCCCAACATGGCATTCTAGGGCCAGTTCTCCTGTGTGGTGTTTGCCCTTGGACCAATCATTCAACCCCGTGGAGCCTCCATGTTCTTATCAGTAAGACCGGCGATAATAGCTACCCGGCTTAAATGAGACCTCAGCTGAGGGCAGTAATGGAATCAGATACATAATTCAGTACAGAAGGCATTTCAACCCCCAGAAGAGGCTCAGTGATCTTTAGCCAGGACATGTCCTCCCTACATTTCCTCTACTGACAGGAAATGACATGACCGAAAAAAGAAATTCACTGGAATGATGTGAGCCAATGATTATATCATTTAGCGGAAAAATTAGAAGGCAAAGCTGCAATTTTAAGCGTTTCTCTCTGTACTTTTTCATCTGTAATATGGTTTCAAAAACGATACATCTCACTGCTACATAATTTTAACCTCTTCTAAGAAATCTTCCCTCTTCCACCCCCAATCCTGCTGTTCTCAAGAGTTTAAGCACCATTGTACAAGCCTTGTGCTCCTGTCATAAGGGACCCAGAAGGTGGTGATGCCAAACTGCTTTTCTCTGTGCTGAAAATTCCTGCTGCATCGGCTCCTCGCGCGCACACACCTGGTGTGGGGGCTCCCGGCCCATCCTGCAGCTCCAGTGTAGGCCCTGGGTTCTTGTTCAGTTTAGGGTTGTGTTGACTAGGTTTATGTCCAAGGAGGTGGTACTTGTAAATGTCCATCATCAGGAACTCATTGAACTGCACGTGCTCATGCCGCTTCAGAGGCGTGCCGTGGCTGGACCAGCTCAGCCGCTGTAGGTGGATGCAGAGACACTGAGGGAGCTGCGGGTGGAAGAGAAATCGGGAGAACCGAGTTGTTTCAGGGGCAGGATACACGGAGTCCTCAAAACAAAGCCAACAGGGTGTGTAGTGTGGGCTCACCTTCCCTAGTTTTAACTGTTTAACAAAAGTGGTCCTCTGGTGTTCCACCTTTTCCCCGTTCAACGTTCCCTTGGCTTCAATCTGAAATAAAAGGAACATTTCTCTGCAGCAATGCCTAAAATAGGACAGCTTTGGAGTGCTGCAGACCACAGTGGTGTTATAGCGGCACACAATTGGCACTTGACTGCTACCTGCTGAAATGAACCCAGCTGCCCAGTTATTTGTGAATTGTTTTCCCTGATCCCTCTTAGTCATTAAATAACAGAAACAGTGGAGGGAAGAGAATGTGAAGAGCGAACACTGATGCTCTGACACTGGCATGTCATCTATTAATTGTTCTCTGTCTTCAAAAATTCTGTTCCATACAGTTCCTCTTGAGTCAGAGGGGAAAACTCAAGTTACTTAGGGGAGTCAGGCAGGTAGCACAGGTTAAAAGGAAGGGTGTAAAACAAATGGGATTGGAGGCAACTGCAGCAAACTGGAGAGGGCATTTCTCATCTCAGCGTGACAGTTTATTCTTTAAACACTGTGCATGAAACAAAACTCATCTGGGAAAGAGATTTGGTCCATGAGCTGCCAATGTCCAAACCAAATTAGGGAGAAGTAGAAGTGGCTGAAAAGACCCACTGGATACAGTCAGAAGAGCTCAGGGTCACTGGTGTGAGAGGCGCTACATCAGCACACACAGGCCAGCTGGCGATGACATTTGGGGTTCAATGCATACCTTTGTACAGTTGTCACACACAACATCCCGCACTGATTCTGATGAGATGAAGTGGTGAAGGCAGTGGTCCAGGGTCAATGGGTGACCCTACAGCATGAGAAGAAGAAAATTACTACAATTCAAAGGACAGCTATACTGAAACTGTTAGCAGATGGCAGTGTGAAGACCAGAGCTTTATTTTGATGTATGCAGGCAATAAAGTTTTATAGTCACAACTGGATGTTTCCTGGACAAACATGGGGCTCAAAGCACCCTAGACTGCTACTACGGACAGATTCTAGAGCATGAGGATGTAACTGCACGAACTTGTGGACTTCCACGCTGTTTTAGGTATCTTTCAATCTGAGGTTAATGTCTGTGTGTGTGTGTGTGTGTGTGTGTGTGTGTGTGTGTGTGCGCGCATGCGTGCGTGTGTATTCAAAAAGCCAAAATTTCTGGAGCAAAAGAAAAACGATTCATTTTCCTCTCTCCCATAATCATGCCACCATATGAAAGTTAAGAGAGGGTTCAACCAACCATGTATCTGAATTACACATAGTGCCTGAGCCACATAAAATGCCTCAAAGCCCTTTCAGATTGAAATGTTTCTGAAACAGACTCCAAATAAACCATAAATCAGTACATACCCATGTGGCGGCTGGAATACTTAGTGAAAGGCTATCAAAGGTATCAAATCGAACAGGACTCTGAAAGAAATATTGCAGAAAATCCAGAAACGATTTAGGCTTAGTTCAAAGTTTTAAAGATGCAAGATATGTGACTATGAAACAGTTTAATATTGAGATGCCCAACATTAACACAGTAAAATATAATGTACTTAGAATAAAATTCTATTAAAACATATTAAAACAACCTTGTACACATAAGAGGTACAATAATACTAAAGAATCGCTTGGAACAACTGAAAGATTAAATATCTGACCCAGCAATAATTTTGGGATTTTTAAGGAAATAACCATGGGCATAACTACAAGAATATTCATCAACATTATTTGTAATAGCAAAAATTTGAATACAGTCAGCATCACTTAACAATGGGGATACAGTCTGAGAAATGCATCCTTAGGTGATGTCATCATTGTGTAAACATCGCAGAGCGCGCTTACAAGAACCTAGATGGTGCAGCCTACTACACACCTAGGCTATACTGTCTAGCTACTACTCCTAGGCTACCAACCTGTATAACATGTTACCGTACTGAATGCTGTAAGCAACTGTAACACAGTGGGCAGTACTTGTGTATCTAAAAACAGAAAAGGTACCGTACCAATAAAGTATTATAATCTTACGGGACCACCATCATATATGTGGTTTGTCATTGACCAAAACATCATTATATAGCACATGACTGTAGTTGGAAGTTCTAGCAAATGGTTTAATAAATTATATGGCATGTCCACAGAATGAAACAC
Organism: Homo sapiens; assembly: GCF_000001405.40. NCBI lineage: Eukaryota > Metazoa > Chordata > Mammalia > Primates > Hominidae > Homo > Homo sapiens. The sequence continues at coordinate 109,080,607 of NC_000012.12, read as the reverse complement.
TATGTTAAACAAAATGTAGAAGAACATATGATCATGTGGAAAGATGTTCATGTTAGATTATTCATTGCAAAAAAGGAGACGATGAAGTAGGGTGAGAGAGTTCCTGCTTTTGGTGATGGCAGAGGTGCTTGGGTAGATTGGCCCTCCTTGAGATAACAATTGTAAAGTTTGCAACAAAACAAAACCGTTTGAATGAACGGAGAGCTACCAAAAGCAGGCAGAAATGGAAAAGAAGTCAACTGTTGGAAAAACAGAACTCTGTGGGCGAGATTTGTGTGTTTGTGGCTTTTTTTCCTGGTTGATGTGGTGCTGGGTGGCGAAAAGCAGCATCCTACAGGATTGAGTGGTCAGACGACAGAGTTCAAGAATCAGGGCTGGTGGAGAGACCAGGGGAAATGCCAGGAAGAAAGGAGACACAGAGGGGATGAGCCCCAAAGTTTATACCTAAACTCTGTTCAATTCCAGGGCTGATCCCTGAACCACACGTGCACAGGGGGAAACTCCAGGGAGCCTGGCAAAAAGTAGCAGCTGGAAGCTAAAAAAACTGAGCAGAGATTTTGCTGCCCAATGTAGGGGAGACAGAGTTGAGTTTGAGCCCAGCCAGGTTAACTGCAGGCCAGAAGAAAATTAATTTTTCTTCATAGATATGTAACAGAATCCCTACTCTCTATGTCTCTATTATGATGTTAAGCATACAATAAAAAATTACCAAACATAAAATACAAAGAAGTCAGCACACGAGGACCTCACAGATGTATCATAAATATGCTCAAGGATGTAAAGGAAAATATACAGTGACAGTGAATGAACAAATTGAGAATCTCAGAACAATGGAAACTATTAAAAAGAAGGCAATGGAAATTCTATAACTAAAAACAACAGTGATTACGATGAAAAATTTGTTGCATAGGCAAACAGAGATTGGAGATGAAAAAAGAATCAGGCCAGGTATGGTGGCTCACACCTGTAATCCCAACACTTTGGGAGGCTGAAGTGTAAGGATCACTTGAGCCCAGGAGTTCAGGACCAACCTGAGCAACACAGTGAGACCCTGTCTCTACAAAAAATAAAAAAAAATTAGCTGGGTGTGGTGGCACACACCTGTAGTCCCAGCTGCTCAGGGGGCTAAGGTGGGAGGATAACTTGAGCCTGGGAGGTTGAGGCTGCAGTGAGCTATGATCACATTATTGCAATCCAGCCTCGGTGACAGAGCTAAGACCCCTGTCACAAAAAAAAAAAAAAAAAAAAAAAAAAAAGAAAAAAAAAAAGAAAAAGAAAAGAAAAAAAGAGAAAAAAGAATCAGTGAACGTGAAGATAAGTCAATAGAAATGATCTAATTTAAAGAACACACAGAAGAAAGATTGAAGAAAATTGAACAAGACCTCAGTGACCTGTGGGCCAACATTAAGTAAAATAACAAGTGAAAAATGGGCATAAAATCTTTGTTGAAAAAATAACAGCCAAGAATTTTCAAACTTGGTTAAAAAAAGTACAAATTTAAGAAACTCAGCAAACCCCAAACAAGATAAATAAGATAAATACTAAGAAAACCACATCTATGCGCAGCATGAACAAAAATAAAGAGAAAATTTTGTAAGCAGTGTAAGCAGAAGAAAAACAAATGACAATTTACATAGACAAGAATGATATAAATGACACTAACTGAGAAAATGGAGGCCAGAAGACAATAGAACAATGTCCTTAAAGTGATGAATTTAAAATAAACCAAAGCAAAACCACGGCAACACTGTCAACCCAAAGTTCTATATCCAGCAGTAGTATTCTTCAAAAATGAAGGCAAGACAAAAACATTTTCATATACATGAAATCTAAGTGTATCTGTCAGCAGTACACCTATAACAAATGTTAAAAGGAAGTTTTTAGGCCAAAAGGGAAAAAACATCAAATGGATTTTGATCTACAAGAAAGACTGAGAACAAGAAAAATGGTAAACATATTTTTCTATTAATTAATTAGTAGAAGAGAAGGCAACTCTTTTTTTTTTTTTTGAGATGGAGTCTCGCTTTGTCGCCCAGGCTGGCATGCAGTGGTGTGATCTCGGCTCACTGCAACCTCTGCCTCCCAGGTTCAAGCAATTCTCCTGCCTCAGCCTCTTAAGAGAAGGCAACTCTTGCATACTACTGGTGGGAATGTAAACTGGTGCAGCTATTTTTTTTTTTTTTTGAGACTCAGTCTCACTCTGTCGCCCAGACTGAAGTGCAGTGGCGTGATCTCGGCTCACCACAACATCGGCCTCCTGGGTTCAAGCCATTCTCCTGCCTCAGCCTCCCGAGTAGCTGGGATTACAGACGCCCGCCACCAGGCCCAGCTAATTTTTGTAATTTTAGTAGAGACGGGGTTTCACCATGTTGGCCATGCTGGTCTTGAACTCCTGACCTCGTGATCCACTCGTCTCAGCCTTCCAAAGTGCTGGGATTACAGACGTGAGCCACAGCACCTGGCTGGTGCAGCTATTATGGAAAATTGTACGGAGGAGGTTCCTCAAAAAGTTAAGAACAGAACTACTGTATGAACTAGCAATACCACTTCCAGGTATATATCCAAAGGAAATGAAATGAAACACATATAACTCTTTAAAGCAAAAACTATGACACAGTATTGTGAGGTTTATAATGTATGTATAATAGCACAAAGGCTGGGGTAACAGAACTATACTTTTGTAATATTCCAGGATTTTACATGAAGTATAATATTAACTCTAAATAGAATGTGATAAGGTAAAACTGCATAACGTAATCTCTCACACACACCCTCCCCCCCCAACACAAACACACAAGAGTAAAGCTAAAAGGCCAACAAAGGTATTAAAATGGAATACTAAAAAGTATTCCATTAACCTGAAAGAAGCCAGTGAAGGGGGAACAGAGGAACAAGAAAATATGTAAGACAAACAGAAAACAAATGGTAAAATGGCAGACCTAAATCTAATCACATCAATACTTACATTAAATGTAAATGGACTAAGCATTCCAACTAAAAGATTGTCAAGCTAGTTAAAAAAGCAAGACCCATTATATGCTGTCCACAAAGTCACACTTTAAATACAAAGGCCGAAAATGACAGAAAGAAATGACCAAATAAACATTAGCTAGATTAAAAATGAATCATTCAAATAGACTTCAAGTCAAGGAGTCTTAGCAGAGATGAAGAGGGACAATTTATCATGACAAGATGAGTTAACTCATCATAATACATATGCTTGTATCCAATAACAAAGTTTAAAAAAAATTAGCAGAAATAGAGCTAAAGAAAAGACAAATTTTAGCAAACAAGCAAGAAATAATACCAATATTAAACAAAATCTTTCAGTAAACAGAGGAAGGAACATTTTCCAGCCTATTTTATGAGGCTAGTATAATCCTTATAACAAAGCCTGACAAAGACATCACAAGAGAAGAAAAGTGTAAGAACAATATTCCTCATAAACACAGATACTAATATCCTTTAGGAAATATTAGCAAATCAAATTCAATAATATATAAAAACAATAAAGCATCATGATCAAGTGGGGTTTATCCCAGAAAGGTTGGTTTAACATTAGAAAAATCAATCACTGGCTGGGCACAGTGGCTCATGCCTGTAATCCCAGCACTTTGAGAGGCTGAGGCAGGCGGATCACGAGGTCAGGAGATCGAGACCATCCTGGCTAACACGGTGAAACCCTGTCTCTACTAAAAAATACAAAAAATTAGCCGGGCGTGGTGGCGGGCGCCTGTAGTCCCAGCTACTCGGGAGGCTGAGGCAGGAGAATGGCGTGAACCTGGGAGGTGGAGCTTGCAGTGAGCCGAGATCACGCCACTGCACTCCAGCCTGGGCGACAGAGCAAGACTCCGTCTCAAAAAAAAAAAAAAAAAGAAAAAATCAATCACTGTAATTCACCAAGTCAACAGAATAAGACTAAAATATGATCATTTCAATGGATGCAGAAAAAACTGACAAAATCCAATCACTATTCATTACAAAAATTCTCAGCAAACTAGGAACAGAAGGGAAGTTTGTCAGTATGATAAAGAGGTATACTAAAACCTAAAGCTAATATCATACTTAATTATAAAACACCAAATACTTGCTTCAGAAGATTTGAAACAAAGCAAAGATGTCTGCCATCATCACTCTTATTTAACTTTGTACCATAAGTCTTAGCCAGGATAATAAGGCAAAGAAAAAAAAAAAAAAGGAATAAAGATTGGGTTGGAAAGGAAGAACTAAAACTATTTCTATTCATAAGCAACATGACTGTTTGCATACACAGAGAATGCTAAGGAATACATAACAAAACTTCTACAGCTTCTAGAAGTAATAAATGAATGTTTACAAAAATCTCAAGATATAAGGTCAATATATAAACAGCTGTATGTCTATATACTAGTGGCAAACAATTTGAAAATAAATTTTTTTAAATTCCACTTACAATAGTATCAAAATAATGCACGGAAAAAAGAGATGAATAGTCAACTTATAGATTACAGTTCCTTAACATATCTTACATATCTTTTAATATATGAACCTTATTTTTAAAAAGACCATTCAACATATTAGTCTTCAAGGTAATGTCACTCAGAACCGCAATGACACAGCAAATGAAACAATCAACAAAATGAAAAGGCAACATATGGAATGAAAGAAAATATTAGCAAACCATATATCTGATAAGAGGTTAATATCCAAAATTGAATACTTGAAATACACTAAAAGAGTGTTTATAAGGAACTCATATGGACCAACAGCAAAAAAAAAAAAAAAAAGAAAAAGTAACATGATTAAAAAATGGGCAAAGGAGCTGAACAGACACTTTGCAAAAAAAAGACATACAAATGGCCAGTGGGTATATGAAAAGGCACTCAATATCACTAATCATCAGGGAAATGCAAATAAAACCATAAAGAGCTATCACCGCACACCTGTTAGGATGGCTATTACCAAAATGACAGCATGTGGTCAGGCACAGTGGCTCATGCCTTAATCCCAGCACTTTGGGAGGCCGAGACAGGCGGATCACTTGAGGTTGGGAGTTCAAGACCAGCCTGGCCAATATGGTGAAACCCGATCTCTACTAAAAATACAAAAGATTAGCTGGGTGTGTTGGCGGGTGCCTGTAATCCCAGCTACTTGGGAGACTGTGGTGGGAGAATTGCTTGAACCCAAGAGACGGAGGTTGCAGTGAGCCAAGATGGCACCACTGCACTCTAGTTTGGGTGCAGCAGAGCGAGACTCTGTCTGAAAAAAAAAGACAGCACGTAACAAGTGTTGCCGAGGGTGTGGAGAGAAGGCAACTCTTGCATACTGTTGGTGGGAATGTAAATGGAAAACAGTATGAAGGTTCCTCAAAAAGTTAAGAATAGAACTATTATATGAACTAGCAATGCCACTCCTAGGTATATATCCAGAGGAAATGAAATCAGTATCTCAAAGATACATCTGCAAAACAATCTTCATTGTAGCATTATTCACAATAGCCAAGATATGGAATGTCCACAGACAGATGAATGAGAAAATGTGGTATACACATATAATGGAATATTATTCAGCCATCAAAAAGGAAGTCCTACCATCTGTGACAACATGGATGAACCTGGAGGACATCTGCTATGTGAAATAAGCCAGATATAGAAAGATAAACACCACCTGATCTCATACCTATATGGAATCTAGAAAAGTCAAACTCACAGAAGCAGAGTACATGCTGGCTGCCAGGGGCTGGGGAGGTGGGGAGATGTTGCTCAAAGATGCAAACCTTCAGTTATAAGACGAATAAGTTCTGGAGAGTTAACGTACAGCATGGTGACTACAGTTAATAATACTGTATTGTATTCTTGAAATATACTAAGAGAGTGTTCTCACCACATATGAGCACAGGTGCACGTGCACACACACACACACAGTCATACATCAAATCTTCACTTTGTACACCCTAAATATATACAATTTTTATTGTCGATTAGATCTCAATAAAACTGGGGGAAAAAGCCACAGTGAGATACTACTTTGCACTCAGTAGGATGGCTAGAACCTCAATGTTAGACAGGACCTAGAGAGTGGGCTGACATCAAAATGTGGGTGAGGCTGTGAAGAAATTGGAACCCCTCATACACTGCCGGTGGGAATGAAAAATGGCATAGCCACTTTGGAAAACAGTCTGGCAGTTCCTTAAAAGGTTAAACAAAAGAGTTACCATATAAGCTAGCAATTCTACTCTGAGGTATATACCCAACTGAAGTGAAAATATATGTCCACACAAAAACTTGTATGTAAATGTTCACAGCAACATTATTCATAATGGCCAAAAAGTGTTAACAATCCAAATGCCCATCAACTGATGAATGGATAAAAATGTTGTAGATCCATGTAATGCAATATTATTTGGTAATAAAAGGAACAAAGTACTGATTCATGCCAAAATATGGAAGAAACGTGGAAATATTATGCTAAATGAAAGAAGCCAGACACAAAAAGCCACACATTACATGATTCCATTTATATGAAGCATCCAGAATATGCAAATCCATAGAGACAGAGGTAGATTCATGGTTGACAAGGGTAGGGTGATGGAAAGGATGGGGAGAGGTTGCTAATGAGTATGGAGTTTCTTTAGGGGGCAATGAAAATGTTATAAAGTTGACTGATCCCGGAGTCAGTAATGGCTGTGAAAAAATAAAATAAAATAAAATGGATTGGGGTGACAGTTGTACAATTCTCTCTTTTTGTATGATGTTGGAAATTTTCCATAATAAAATATTATTTTAAAACCTCAAAAGTAAAGGGGAAAAAACCAGCCCTAGAATCTACTGTGTCCACCATGAGCATAGACTCAACCACTGGACTCAAGAGCCTGCCAATCCACAGTGGGTCTGTTGTCCTTGGTGCAGAAGATGCCATCTGACCTCAAATGACATGCTGACACTGACCAAAGTGGGGTAGTCAGTCCACTAGTGTGCAGAGGCCAGGTAGTCTCTAACACCAGTGACCGATGTCAGCCCACTCTCTAGGTCCTTTCAAGAATCCTAACTTTTGGAAAACCTCTCCCGGAAATATCAAGTGTTGGTATTGTATTTACCTGGTGTTCACAGTGTTTGCAGACCATATTACTAGTGAGTCTTCCATGAAAAGGATGTTGAGACTTCCAGTGATTGGATGTAGGGTGAGGTGACCCTGGAATGCAAAAAGTTTTTTGATATGTCACTTTTAGCCCTTTGGCACCAAGCTCAACATTCATCTTCCTTTCTAGCATGTGGTAGAAACTACCTCTTAAGAAAAAATATTCTTGAAAAGTACATTGAAATAGCTTTCCTCATTGACTTCCATCCAAAAGACATCCCATTCCTTCATAGGAGAATTTACACAGATCTATCTTTATATACGGTTTCTGTATAATGGGTAGAGCCACATTTTAAAAAGGAATTTGTGTTGAATAATGTCTTTTTACAAACATATGCTTAAAATGTTTGAGATGTCAAAAGAAGGATACCACAAGTGAACATTCCATAAAGCGAGATAAAATCTTCTGAAATAAACAGAATAAGCAAGTTCTGAATAACTAGGCCTTTCTTTGGCTAGAATGGGGTTTAATGGAAAGAACATAAGTGAGAAACCTGGGCTCTGGAGTTGTGCAGCCCAGGGATCAGCTCTGGCTGTGCTTCTTATTCACTACCTGACCTGGGAATGCCTTTAATCTCTACAAGCCTCAGTGTGCGGAAAATTGGGATAGTTATTATCCCATTAACTCCAGTATCATCAACTTTGTAGAGTTGTTATGAGGCTTAAATGAGATAATGCAATGCCTGGCAAACAGCATGGGCTCAAAAAATATTTGTTCCTATTACTACACAGAGGAATTAATATGCTAATCTTATTTTTTAAGTCTTAAGAAAACAACAATTTCCTCCTAAGGATGACTGTGGTAATATGCAATAGAATTTGGCAGCACTGGAAATGCTGAGGACACGACAGATTCAGCTCATTATGTTCTTCCCAGGATCAATTCAAAAAGGTAAAAAGAAAGCCCTTGTTTGAAGTACAAATAAGCCAGTTTCAAGAAAAGTCAGCTGGGCTGGGGTGCAAGGGAACACCAAGAGAATCTATTTAAAGCTATTTCCAAAATACAAGTTCCTTTGCAAGCACATCACACTTCAAGCTGGCCTGTATGTCACCAGAAAAAAATCTTTTTAAAACAAGCAAATTATTATCATATCTTAAAAGTCCACATCTTATGTGTTATATTTCAATGGAAAACAGCTACCTCTTGTGCGGCAGGTAATTTGTTTGGGAGTTATTTCTGACTGCTGCTGTAGGGGAGAAAAAAAAAAAACAGACTGAAAACCTTACTATAATCCCTTTCACCACCCTCACCCCACCCCTAAACCTTACAAGTTTCTACGTTGATTACACCACTAAAAATCAACTTTTAACAAAGCTCAGGTTTCTAAAGGTAGCCTCAATTAGCCTATCTGGCTGGATACTATGAATATTCTTTCATCAAATGCAATAGAAACATATTTCTTCTCTCCAGAATATTTTCATCCTTACTGGTTAACTTTTGTCAACTCCTCCGATATTTATACTGTTACAGGGAAATGAGGGCTCACTTAGCATTCCTATGGCCCCTGTTCCCCTGTATTAAACAGGAAAAAATAACACATTCTTTATTCTCAAAGCCAACACAAATTGCAGCAATGAATCATTTGAAAGAGCCTTGACATCCCTAATCAGATCACCAACTGCAAAGCATGTAGTTTTAAGACCCTCCCCTGGCCTCATTCCCACCACTGATTTTTACTGAATCTTACTTTTAAAGTTGTACAAAGATTACACTTGCCTCCCCTATACTTATTAAATATGCACAAGCTGCACAGAACGTGTTGGAAATATTAATGGTTTACCTCCAGGGAATGCACATCAAACAAATGTGTGACCCGAGGCTGGCGGTCTCGCTCATCTTCCAATGACGAGGTAATGACATGGAATAATTCGTGAGCATCCTGTCATAGGGCAAAGCATTCTTTAGAGAGGTTGGAAGAGGCAAGAGCAAGATCAGAACTACCCACCTCGGGCAGACACCCTACAGTGAATGTGGGTAGAATTTGCTTTCTACCTTCTCAAGGCCCAGCTCATTAAAGAAAACAGTTATGTCCTGGACACTGTCACGAGTGAAGACCCTCAAGCAAGAGGTCCAGGAGCAGAGAGCAGGAGAGAAAGCCAGGTGGCTGCCTTCACGCCAGCAGTCTATGAGACCATTCTGTTTCACTGAGACAGCCTTGACCTCCACTCCGATTTCAAAAGATTATGTTTTTTGTTAATTGTGGTAAAATACACATATCATAACATTTATCATCTTAACATGAATGATTCTGTGGCATTAAGTACATTCATGTTGTTGTACAATCATCACTGCCATCCATCTTCAGAACTTTCTCATCTTCCCCAGCTGAAACTCCATATCTGTTAAACACTGATTTCCCATTTCCCCTTCCCCAACCCCTGGCACCCACCATTCTTTATCTCTCTAGGAATCTGATTACTCTGGGAACCTCACACAAGTGGAATCATACAGTGTTGGTCTTTGTGACTGGCTTATTTTCCTCGGCATAACGTCTTCAAGCTTCACCTATGTTGTAGCATACTGCAGAATTTCCTTCCTTTTTAAGGCTGAATAATATTCCATTGTATGAAAGTTTTGTTTACCTATTTATCAGCCGATGAACACTTGGGTTGCTTCTACCCCTTGGCTATTGCGAACATGCTGCTATTAACCTGAGTATACAAATACCCTACTGAGTCCCTGCTTTGAATTCTTTTGGTTTGTACCCAGCAGCGGGGTTGCTGGATCCAATGGCATGGGACTACTCTTGAAGGATCAACTCAAATGGCTCTCTCCCCAAAAACCCAAGCCACCCCTCACTCTTCCGGGAGTAACGGGGTCACAACACAGGCCCTCTGCTTCTCCTTTGGTGTCCCCTCACACTGCCACCAGAGCAATACTTTAAAAGGCAGATAGCTTTACTCTTCTGCTTTTAGCTTTCCAATGGCTTCCACTACTAGAGTAAAACCTACCATTCTTATCTGGCCTACAAAGCCCCCAACATTCACAATGTCCCGGCCCCTGGCCTCTTTGCTGTTCCTTGAACATATCCAGCTTATTCCCATTTCGGGCTGTGCTCAGACCTTCGCACGGCTACCTCCTATCCTTCAGGTCTCTGCCAAAAGAGCTCCTCCACAGGGCATACTCCCCAACCAATTATCCAAAGCTGCCTCCACCCCTCTGAACTCTAACCCACCCTCAGCCAATTCAGCAGCAGTCCTGAAAAAAGGACCCTCCTCCAAAATACGCCCTAAATTCCTGAGGACTCTCAGCTACCCTGCTTCGACCCCAGTCTGAGCCACACCATCTCGGCCAGATAACTGCAGCGGCCTCCCACCTTTCCTCTCGGCTTGCATTCTTGCCCCTCCAGCCTTCCTTTTCTAACAAGTCAGATCAAACCAGTCCCCAGTTCAAAGTCCTCTAGTGGCTCCCCGCTGCAAACACAATAGAAGCTGATGCCGCCCGCAGCCTCCTAGTCCCTGCACAATCTGCTCCCTGCCAACTTCGCCAGCCCCTCTCCTCCACCGCCCTCCCCGCCCTGGCCTCCCTGCCATTCTCCACAGGTGGCAGCTTTATAACCATCTCCAGACTTATACCCTAGCTTCTTCATCTGTCTGGAATGCTCTGTACCCAGGTGTCCACACACTTCACTCTCTTTTATACTTCCGGTCTCCGCTGAAACCTCACCTCCTGAGAGGAGCCTCCCTACCTGGAGCAGTCTCCCCCTGTAGCTTGGCTCCTCCTCCTCTGCCCTCCCTATCCATGCCATGTTACACCAGCTAGTTTCTTGTTAGCATATCCTGAAATCCCCTGCTTACTGTCTGCACCGACCCCTGCCTGCTATCCTCATCCCCCACTGGAATACCAGCTCTAAGAGAGCAGGAAACTCCTGCAAGTCATGTCTGCTGCTACGACTCCATTGCCCTCGACAGTCCCCACCCCAGGCAGGCATTCAATAAATACTTGTTGCCTATATAAATGAATTCCCTCCTGGGCTATAAAACTGCAGCTGTAGAGTGGAAGTAGAGATTCAAAGATAAATAAGGCAAGGCTCTAGCCCCTGAGGGACTCACAATCCAGGGGAGGTGTGGCAGCCTAGCTATTAGCCAACGGCACACCAGAGGTGCAGCCCTGTACAGATGAACAGGAAGCAGGGAACCTGGAGGAGAATCAGCACTTCCTGGGAGGCTCAAGGAGCCCTCACACACCAGGCATCTGGGCCCAGGCTTGAAGCAGATCCGAGAAAGGATGGAGGTGGATCTATAACCTAAACCGTGGGTCAGCCATGTAACAACTAGGCCTTAAGGAAAGGGACAGCACTGCAGAGGAGGGGGAGCTTGAATGTGCACTGTAGCACTAGACTGTCTTAAATCCTGGCTCTGCCCCTTAAATAGCTGCATGATTCTGGGCAAATCATTCCACTTCTCTGAGCCTCAGTGTTTTTCCATCTGTAAAATGGGGACAACAGTAATTCCTTACATGGTTATTGTGATAATAAAATCAGGTAATTTGCACAAAGCAAGCCTTTGGCCCAATGCATCCTCTGAAGCTCTAGCTTTAGACAAAGAAAATGGGTTGACAATCAGGGAAAATCTGCTCCTGATTGACTGGATCGCTGATAATAAAGATGTGGGCAAGGCCCATGCTAGACGCTCTGGGTACCTTCAAAGAGAAAAAGGCCACCGGACAGACGTGTTCACCTCTTTTTCCTGCAGACTACAGCACGATGTGGGCTCAGTGACTGCTGTGGGCTGAAGATGTTGGAAATACTTCCAAGGAGTGACTGGGACCTAAGTGAGTCCTTGATGGAGAAGTCGGACCTTAAAAAAGTTATCTGATGTCCTTGGTGACTAAATCTCCAAGTTATTCTCTCAGTTTAGGGAAATGTAAAATGTAGATAAATAATTCCAGTTACCAGAGGAGGATTTTAAAAGTATTTTCTAAATAGAAAAACGTTGCAACATACAATTGGATTAACTGAGATACATTTTAAGAAAGTATAGATACCACCACCATGTCTAAAAAGTGACCTGTGGCTTCAGAATAAAGCAAAAACAAGAGAACACCTTTAAAAATAAGGGGTGCTAGAAAGCCTCCCCAGCTCCCTTTCCAAAAGTCTCTCGATGCCCCTCACGTCGGCCCCACAGTTTTGGGAGGTCCAAGATGCCGCCTCCCATTTCTCTGGATAGTGGCGGCAGACAACGCCTACACGAAGCTGGACAAGGCCATCTTGGAAGTGTGGCTGTGGAGGATGCACCTGTATGTCACTGGGGGCTAGATTTTTTCATCTCTAGAACTTCATTCTCTTGGCCTCTGCTTCAGACTTGCTGTTGGTAACAGCGGTCTGGCGGGGAGGAGGGTGGCCAAGTTCCAAAAAAGGCAGCAAAGCTGTAGTTGTGGAAAAGGGAGGTGGGAGTGACTGAATACGGCCTTGAAATTGCATATGACATCTGCTTGAGGTTTCGGGCTACTTTAAGCAAAGCTCCGAAGATTGATTTTTTAAAAAATGAGGGTGTGGTCCAGAAAAATCTTACCTAAACCTCTGGGCCTCCAAGGTAAAGTCACCTGCCTCTTTCTAAAGAACCCAGGTGTCCCTATCACTTATTGGAGTGCCAAGTCACTCAAGAACTAAAAAGATTTTGCTCTTTGGCAACTGTGTGTTTATGTCCCATCCTGCTAACCTTCCATCCACTGAGTGAAAAACAGCTGTATCTCCCCTCTGATCATGAGAGCAGGAACAAAGTTGGTACTCTGGTCCCAGAACACTAAAGTTGTCTAAAATGTCACAGAAATGTACACTGGGGCCAGGCAATTTTAAGGTCAGGCCCCAAGTCACTAGGGGAAAGGATTCTCCAAGCTAAACCTGTTCAAATGTTGTACTCACCTGTTCTTCAAATGATGAGATCTGCCATCTGTACATTCTTAAGACATCCAACAAGCAGCTTGCATCTAAGACCTCATCATCAGTAACTTCTTGGCAGGACAAGGCTGGAAACAAAAAAGGTAAGACAATTATTAAATTCATCAGCATAACAACTAACCAGAAAACTTGCACAGTATAACATATCAAAGTTAATTAAAAATTAAAGACCGCAGGCTGGGTGTGGTGGCTCATGCCTGTAATCCCAGAATTTTGGGAGGCCGAAGTGGGCAGATTACAAGGTCAGGAGATCCAGATCATCCTGGCTAACATGGTGAAACTCCGTCTCCACTAAAAATAAAAAAAAAAAATTAGCCGGGCGTGGTGGTGGGTGCCTGTAGTCCCAGGTACTCGGGAGGCTGAGGCAGGAGAATGGCATGAACCCGGGAGGCGGAGCTTGCAGTGAGCAGACATCGTGCCACTGCACTCCAGCCTGGGTGACAGAGTGACGCTCCATCTCAAAAAAAAAAAAAAAAAAAAAAAATTAAGGACTGTAGGATTAACCTTAGAATTAGGTATTTTTCATCATTCTTTGTAGCTTTACCCAATGCTTAGTACTCTATTAGGCATTTATGTTTACTGAATGAATGTAATTTTTCATGAGGCTGCAGCATTTAAATGAAGTAACCGATTCCTGTATCTTCAAACTATCATCATCAATATAAATTTGTTGCAAGGTTCTTATTGAGCAAAATGATTTTAACTCACAACTTTCAGGTTGGGAGGGCCCTTTAACATTCATCCAGTCCAACCCCATATTTGGTGCTACACTCCTCTCCACAGGGCTGTTTCCCAAGGCCTTTGCTTGTATTTGTTTGTATTTGAGTTTCTGATTTTCAAGGCAAAGCATCAAGCTATATGCAGCAGCCTAAAGGGTCTTTTGAGTAGTGTACTTTTCTTTTTTTTTGAAACAGAGTCGTGCTCTGTCGCCCAGGGTGGAGTGCAATGGCGTGATCTCAGCTCACTGCAACCTCCGCCTCCTGGGTTCAAGCGATTCTCCTGCCTCAGCCTCCCGAGTAGCTGGGATTACAAGGCATGCGCTACCATGCCCGACTAATTTTTGTATTTTTAGTAGAGATGGGGGTTCCCCCATGTTGGCCACGCTGGTCTCGAACTCCTAACCTCATGATCGCCCACCTCAACCTCTCAAAGTGCTGGGATTACAGGTGCAAGCCACTGCACCCACCCGAGTGGTTTACTTTTCAATCACAGGTAGAATCAGGCCTAATAAAAGTTTGATGGGCTTATTTATATTATAATTACTTCTAGACCAAGGATTGGCACTTTTTCTGTAAAAGTCCAGAAAATAAACATCTTAGGCTTGCTTTTTTTTTTTTTTTTTTTGAGACAGGGTCTCATTCTGTCAGGCTAGGGTGCAGTGGCATGATCTTGGCTCACTGCAGCCTTGACCTCCTGGGCCCAAGCAATCCTCCCATCTTGGCCTCCTGAGCAGCTGGGACTACAGGCACATGTCCTTGTGCTCAGCTAATTTTTGTATTTTTTGTAGTGACAGAGTTTCACCATGTTGCCCAGGCTGGTCTTGAATTTCTGGGGTGAAGTGATCTGCCCACCTTGGCCTCCCAACGTGCTGGGATTACAGGTGTGAGCCCCTGTGCCTGGCCACATCTTAGGCTTTGTGGACCACATGGTCTCTGTTGCAACTACTCAACTCTGCCACTGCAGCACAAAAGCAGCCATAGATGTAAAAAGAAAATAACATTTCAGGACCTTCTAAATGCATTATGCCAAGGGAAAAAGTGCTGGAAACAGTCATGTAACACAGCTGCTTTTCTTCTCTGGCGCATGGCCACTGCTTCCTGACCTTTGTGTTGAGATGTTACACGTTAACCAGACTCCCTGTTCTTCCCTCAAACCTAGGCTGAATGGACTGGAGATAGAGATCCTTGTGATTATTACCTCTTTACAACAGAATGGTAGGCAACCCCCTAAGAGTGTAATCCATAGTAGCCAATCAAATCTTACATCTGTATGTTAGCCATTGTATGGAAAATGTTATAATTCTGTTCAGTACCTCCGTTTTTGTCATATAAATGATCCCCACTTTTCCCCACACTGGGAGCACTGATCACCATTTCCTGGGATTTGTGTGTCCCCAGACAGCCGCCTTCACACTTTGTGCTTCAATAAACCCTTTTAGCTGGATCTCGAACTCTTTGATTATTTGAGGCTGACATAGGCAGTACCTAAACAAATGGACATGACTGTGTTCCAATAAAACTTTATTGACAAAAACAGGTGGTGGGCTGGATTTGGCCCATGAGCCATCAGGTGCAGACTCCTGATCTTGGCCACCCTCCTTCCCAGCATGTTACACTAGACCAGTACTGCTAGAGTGTGAGAGAAAAAAATACAGAAGCCTGCCTCTCAGTGCAGTTTCTGGAAGTTCAGTGACTCCCAAGATACAGTAGGCCAGCCTGTTTCTTCTTTCTGACTTGCCGTCAATGGGCTTGAAAGATTCCTTTAAAGCCCAGACTTCTGGGCTGCTCTGCCTATGAAGTAGCCATTCTTTTATTCCTTTACTTTCTTAATAAACTTGCTTTCACTTAAAAAAATAATAATAAAGTCCAGGCTTCTGCATCAGTGTGTATATACCCTGGGGCTAGCCCTTTCCCTCCCAGGACAAAGGGAGCAGGGTTGGGAAATGAACCACATCTTTCTCCCATACCCCTCGGGCAGCCCTTCTGTTAGCTCCCCCCACCAACTACCCCCCAAAGGAAAATTTTAATGCCTCCTTTAACCCAACTTTGTCTAAAATACTATGGGGCAATTTGGCAATATCTACTAACATTTTCATATTGTACAATCCAGCAATTTTACTTTCTCAATCCAGCAATTTTTTTCCTAGAGAAATGCATGCTTAGGTGCATAAAGGGATATGTATAAGGATGTTCACTGTAGCCTGCTTATCTTGACAAGGAGCTGGAAGCAAATGCCTGAATAAACTGGGGTGTCTTGACATTATGGAAACTATGCAGCTGTAAAAGTGAATGAGGCCAGGTGCAGTGGTCTACGCCTGTAATCCCAGCACTCTGGGAGGCCGAGGTGGTTAATCACTTCAGGTCAGGAGTTCAAGACCAGCCTGGCCAACATGGTGAACCATCAACTCTATTAAAAACAGCAACAGCAAACACCCAAAAATTAGCCGGGGGTGATGGGTGCACACCTGTTGTCCTAAATACTTGGGAAGCTGTGGCAGGAGGATCACTTGAACCCTGGAGGCAGAGATTGCAGTGAGCTGAGATTGCATCACTGCACTCCAGTCTGGGCAACAGAACAAGACTCTGTCCCAAAGAAGAAAATAAAAGTGACCAAGGTTTGCAAATCACATCTGATAAGGGATTAATACCCAGAATATATGAACTCAGAACTTCTAAAACTCAACAACAAAAAACCAAACAATGCTGAGCGTGGTGGCTCATGCCTGTAATCCCAGCACTTTGGGGGCCTGACACAGGCAGATCACAAGGTCAAGAGATCGAGACCATCCTGGCCAACATGGTGAAACCCTGTCTCTACTAAAAATACAAAAATTAGCTGGGTGTGGTGGCATGCACCTGTAGTCCCAGCTACTCAGGAGGCTGAGGCAGGAGAATCGCTTAGAACTCAGGAGGCGGAGGTCGCAGTGAGCTGAGATGGCGCCACTGCAATCCAGCCTGGCAACAGACTGACTTCTCAAAAAAAAAAAAAAAAAAGAAACCCAATTCAAAAATGGGCAAAGGACTTGAACAGACATTTCTCCCAAAAAGATAGACAAAATGGCCAATAAGCAAATGAAAAGATGCTCAATATAACTTATCATTAGGGAAATGCAAATTAAAGCAATTACCATACCATTAGGATGGCTACTATCAATAAAAACAGAAAATAATATCTGTTGGTGAGGAGAAACTGGAACTTTTATGTATTGCTGGTGGAATTATAAAATCGTGCACCATCTGTGGAAAACAGCACAGCAGCTCCTCAAAAAATTAAACAGAATTACCATTTGATCCAGCAATTCTACTTCTGAGTGTTTACAGAAAATAACTGAAAGCAGGGAATTTGGACACTAATGTTCACAGCAACATTATTCATGATAGCCAAAGAATGAAAATAAGCCAAATGTCCACTGACTGACAGAGGGACAAACAAAATGCTGCATATACATGCAACAGAATATTATTCAGCCTAGGCCTGGCGTGGTGGCTCACGCCTGTAATCCCAGAACTTTGGGAGGCTGAGGTGGGCAGATCACTTGAAGTCAGGAGTTCAAGATTAGCCTGGCCAATGTGGTAAAACCCCGTCTCTACTAAAAATACAAAAAATTAGCCAGGTGTGGTGGTGCACGCCTGTCATCCCAGCTACTCGGAAGGCTGAGGCAGGAGAATCACTTGAATCTGGAAGGCGGAAGTGGCAGTGAGCTAAGATCGCACCACTGCGCTCCAGCCTGGGTGACAGAATGAGACTTTGTCTTAAAAAAAAAAATAGAAAGAATATTATTCAGCCTTAAAAATGAATGAAATTCTGATACATGGTATAACATGGATGAACCCTGAAGACATTAAGTGAAATAAGCCAGTTACAAAAGGGTGAATATTATATGAGTCCGCTTAATGAGGTACATCTTATAAATATGAGGAAACTCATGACTTAATGAGGTCTGAGTCAAATTCAAAGAGAGAGAAAGTAGGGCAGTGGTTACCAAGGGCTAGGGGGAGGGGAGAGTGGGAGTTACTGTTTCATGGGTACAGTTTCAGTACGGGATGATGAAGAGTTCTAGAGAGGGATGGCCGTGACTGCTGCACAACAGTGTGGCTGTACTTAATCTACTCAACTATATGCTGAAAATGGTAAATTTTATGTTATGGATATTTTGCCACAATTTAAAAAGTAGGCAAAGGATATAAACTAGCAATTCACAGAAGACAAACTATAAGACCAATACACTCAAAAAAGAAAAAAAAGGCTGGGCGCGGTGGCTCAAGCCTGTAATCCCAGCACTTTGGGAGGCCAAGGCGGGCGGATCACGAGGTCAGGAGATTGAGACCATCCTGGCTAACACGGTGAAACCCCGTCTCTACTAAAAATACAAAAATATTAGCCAGGCATGGCGCCTATAATCCCAGCTACTCGGGGGGCTGAGGCAGGAGACTAGCTTGAACCCAGGAGGTGGAGCTTGCAGTGAGCCGAGATCATGCCACCGCACTCCAGCCTGGGCGACAGAGCGAGACTCCGTCTCAAAAAAAAAAAAAAAAAAAAAAAAGTGAAGGAGGTAGAGCTACATGTACTAAAATGGACGCTTCTCTAATGTATTATATTTGGCCATGTAAATCACCAACAGAACAAAACAATATACAGGCCAGGTGTGGTGGTTCATGCCTGTAATCCCAGCACTACGGGAGGCTGAGGCGGGTGGATCACCTGAGCCCAGGAGTTCAAGACCAGCCTAGGCAACAGTGTGAAACCCCATCTCTACTAAAAATACAAAAATTAGCCAGGTGTGGCAGCACGCACCTGTAGTCCCAGCTACTTGGGAAGCTGGGGTGGGAGGATAGCTTGAGCACAGGAGGCTGAGGTGCAGTGAGCCGAGACTGCACCACTGCACTTCAGCTTGGGTGAGACCCTGTCTCCAAAAAACAAAACAAAAACAAAACAGAAAACAAAAAAACCTACAATATATAATTTCTATGGATGCATAGAAATGTATTCAAATGCACAGAAAAGGGTCTGGAAGGATTCACCTATAGCTTCCTTTTGGGAAAGGTGGAGGGGAGCAGGGTTGAGTATTGATAAAGGGGACTTTGGCCTTCTCTGTAATGCTTTAATCTTTTACAAAGAGAACTGATTCATGCATTACTTGTATAATTAAAAAATTATTTATAGGCCAGGCATGGTGGCTCATGTCCGCAATCCCAGCACTCTGGGAGGCCAAGGCAGGCAGATTGCTTGAGCTTAGGAGTTCGAGACCAGCCTGGGCAACAAGTCAAAACCCTGTCTCTACTCAAAATACAAAAAATTAGCCAGGCCTGGTGGCATGTGCCTGTAGTCCCAGCTACCTGGGAAATGGAAATGGAGGATTGTTTTGGGCCTGGGAGGCAGATGCTGCAGTGAGCTGAGGTTGTGCCACTGCACTCCAGCCTGGGCGACAGACAGAAGAACCCTGTCTAAAAAAAAAAAAAAATTTTTTTTTTTTTTTTTAAACCAAAGTTAGAGACATTGGAAAGCAGAAGCAGAGAAATGAGCAGACATCCTGGGACAGCAGCCCAAGGATGGCTCTGGCTCCCAGCACTGGGTCCCATGTGAAGGATAAGGGCAGTGCTGAGGTCAGGGTTAGGATAACTCATGTGGACATTTCAGCTTTCACAAAATCTTTGGAGTGGTGTTTTTAACCCATTTCCCATTTGCCCCAAGAATACTCCTGTCTTTAATCCTAATGTAACATCATATACATTTCTGTTACATTAGGATTAGAGACAAGTTCTATTTAGAAATAACTCCCATGAACATGGCTGGGTGCAGTGGCTCACCTCTGTAATCCCAGCACTTTGGGAGACCAAGATGGGAGGATCACTTGAGGTCAGGAATTTGAGACCAGCCTGGTCAACATAGCAAGACCCCATCTCTATTTTTTTAAAAAAATTAAAAAGGCCAAGCATGGTAGCTCACGCCTGTAATCCCAACACTTTGGGAGGCCAAGGCAGGTGCACCACTTGAGGTCAGGAGTTCGAGAGCAGCCTGGTGAAACCCTGTCTCTACTAAAAATACAAAAACTAGCCAGGCGTGGTGGGGCATGCCTGTAATCCCAGCTACTCGGGAGGCTGAGGCAGGAGAATTGCTTGAACCTGGGAGGCAGAGGTTGCAGTGAGCCGAGATCCCGCCACTGCATTCCAGCCTGAGTGACAAGACGAGACTCATCTCAAAAAAAAAGGAAAGAACTCCAAGAACAGTTTTTCTATTTTCGCATTTAAAATCAGTCAGATTTGCTTCGGCCTCAAAGAGCATGTTTACGTAAAATTAGATGAACGCTGGCAGCGAGTTGCACATTTTTTTTTTCTAAACCAGGAATGGGCTAAAAAAACAGGATAGTAAAAGAAATTATTCCCAAGTCACCTCTTCCACAGAAAAGTACACTTGCTTCATAAAGATTTCTGTGTCAAGCAGAGCTCACATGGGAAAATACCTCAGTGAAGCACGATTTAGCTGAATGTTTTTTAAATCCAATTTTCTCCTTACAGTGAGAGCAATATATGCTTATTGTTAAAAGTTGAAGTATAGTTTTTTTCCAAAAATGATTTTAAAATTACCAATGACTGCACAATACCAAAATGGCCACTGCTAACATTTCAGCATTTTTCAGTCCAGTCTTTATCTGTGGAAGTTCCTACCTTGATGAAGTCAAATTATATTTTGTACGCTGCTCTTTAAATTTAATATTACAGCCTATGCCCTCACCCAAATTAAAAAAAAATTTCATAAAAGTGATTCTTAATGGCTGTATGCCATCGATTACTTTATCATTTTCCCATCTAAGTGCTAGCCAACCACTACCCGGCTTAGCTTCCGAGGTCTGATGAGATCAGGTAAGTTCAGGGTAGTATGGCCACAGGTGATTGCTTAATGATTCTGTTTGATATCTACATTCTTTCCTTTTGCCATTATAATTAGGTGTTGGAGATCTTTGTGCATACATTGCACTCTGTATAATACCCATGGAATGTCAGCAGATTTTATGAAGAAAAAAAACAGTTCTACAGTCAAAAAGTTGGTTTAAAAATGAAGTTGGGCTAGGTGCAGTGGCTCACGCCTGTAATCCCAGCACTTTGAGCTGAGGCAGGCAGATCAGTTGAGGTCAGGAGTTCGAGACATGTCTGGCTAACATGGCGAACACTGTCTCTACTAAAAATACAAACATTAGCCGGGCGTGGTGGCATGCAGCTGTAATCCCAGATACTAGGGAGGCTGAAGCAGAAGAATCGCTTGAACCCGGGAGGCGGAGGTTGCAGTGAGCTGAGATCGTGCTACTGCACTCCAGCCTGGGCAACAGAACAAGACTCTGTCTCAAAAATAAAATAAAATAAAAATAAAAATGAAGTTGGGGCCAGGCGTAGTGGCTCATGCCTGTAATTCCAGCACTTTGGGAGGCTGAGGCAGGCATACCACTTGAGGCCAGGAGTTTGAGACTAGCCTGGCCAACATAGTAAGACCCTGTCTCAACTAAAAATGCAAAAAATTAGCTGGGTGTGGTGGCACAGACCTGTCATCCCAGCTACTCAGGAGGCTGAGGCACAAGAATCACTTGAACCTGAGAGGTGAAGGTTGCAGTGAGCTGAGATTGTACCACTGCACTCCAGGCTGGGAAAAAAAGGTGAGACTCTGTCTCAAAAAACAAAAACAAAAAAAAGTTGGGTAGGTTATTTCTTAAAACCTTTACCAAGCCAGTGTATATTGTGACTCTCCAAGTTGGGGGCTACCATTCAGCCATTCCTAAACTTGTTTGCTTTTAGACTCCATTTTTCAGGCTAGTTAAGTCACAATCTACGTTTCTAACCATTTTCATAAGGCGGACTCCCAGACATGGAATTACTGGGTCAAACAGTACTGAGTATTTCGCAAGCTATTATTGTGTAGTTCCAAACTGCTTTCCAGAAAAGTGGCACTAAGTTACACCCCTCTCAGCGGTGTATGGATGTATTGTCCAACAGCTGGACAGGGCTGCAAATTTGTTTTTTAATCTTTGCTGACAGGCAAAAAACAGCATTTTTATTTTGTTTATACTTCTTTGATGATGGTCGAGTCGAACATTTGAGTTTGTTAGCAATTTGTATTACTTCTTTTGTGAATTACCTTATTTTCTAGGCTAACGGACATTTTTTTTTTACTTTAATGTTTTTGAAACCAGAATACTTCTTACGATGAAACTGTTTATGTGGCAGTGGATTTCTTTCCTTCCTTAAAAAGCTGTTATTAACTTGACAATTTAAAAAATAAATGGTTCCATCTTTGATTTTTTTTTTTTTTTGAGACGGAGTTTCGCTCTTGTTGCTCAGGCTGGACTGCAATGGTGCGATCTCAGCTCACCGCAACCTCCGCCTCCCGGGTTCAAGCGATTCTTCTGCCTCAGCCTCCTGAGTAGCTGGGATTACAGGCATGTGCCACCATGCCCAGATAATATTTTTTGTGTTTTTAGTAGAGATGGAGTTTCTCCATGTTGGTCAGGCTGGTTTCGAACTCCTGACCTCGTGATCCACCTGCCTTGGCCTCCTAAAGTACTGGGATTACAGGCATGAGCCACTGCACCCGGCCTCCATCTTTGATTTTTAAAAAATACTTGTTTGTATCTATTGGGCTCTTGGTGTTGTTTATTCATAATGATCTGTATGATCTTTTCCTACAATAAGGTATTAACTCTTTGTTATAAGAGTCTCTGTCATCTGGACTTCTTTGAAAAGGTACATAATTCCCTTGAAATTCCCATCTAGATACCTTTCAGAAGGTGCAAGAGTGTTAAGGATAAATACTGGTGTGAGGGGGGCTCCTTCTGATCCCTGGAGTACTGGGAGGTGAACTCTTCCAGCCACCTGATGAAAGCAGGACAGGCAGACAGGCCTTGTAGCAGGGAGTTCATGAAGCAGGTGTTCCCTAAATTAACAAGGCCAGGCACAAGCCCTAAAAAAAAAGCAGGGGGAAGAAGAGAACAGTATATCACATTTGATCAATTTCTCTCCCATGTGGGACCCAGAGTTCCTGCGCTGTGGCCTTAAATTTGGAATCCCGATCCAAGAAGATCCTTATCCACAGAGATCTGGGGCCAGGCCTTCTATCTGTGCCAAGGCTTGGTTCTAGTACTGCTCCGCAGACTGTAAGCACAGAAGGACAGGTCCCCTTTGTGTGTTATTTTTGAAACCTATCATGGTATCCAGCACAGCTTGGTTCTTCCTAAATGTACAAAAACACTTAGTAACCATCTCCTGTCTTTTTCTCTTCCTCATTCTCCCCTACATGCTCTCTTTCTTCTTTAATCAGAAAGCAATGTTTCTCAGAACAGAAGAAAACAATTGTTCTGTTGTTACTTCCCCAGGACAATGATTCTGTTCTTATCTTAACAATCACTGGGAAAGACACCACTATACCAATTCTGATCAGTCTTTCTGCAGAGATCAATGAAATCTAATATACTTCTCTCTTCTGCTAGCAATCTTTTAAAAAAACTTTTTATTATCAAAGTTCTCAAAGACACAAAAAAAGGAGGGAGAATGTAAAATAAACCTCAATTATAACTGTCCCCAGATTTAACAATGATCAAATTTCACCACATTCTTCTTTCTTTCTTTGCTGAATTTTAATCAATGTTACATAGAGCCACACTTTCAAAAGGGAGCATTAAAAAAAAAAAGAAAATAATTTTTTAGTAATGAAGGCACTAACTTGAAATTTTTACCAGTTACTAGCAAGCTAGTCTGAGAGAACACAAATGTATGATGTAATTGGTCAGTCTGTACCACTGAAAACTACAATTGCCGTACTAATGAGAACACTTCTTAGACAATTATGCCGCTTGACATTTTTCATTACAAAGCATGCCTCCAACTCCAGTCTGGAGAGGGGCTGAAATAGAAATCTTTTTACTACATGGTATAAAATAATGACTAACGGTAAAAGTACTGTTTGAAAACCTGAAATCCTAATTTTAAAGATACAGAGAACAAATATGACCAACCTCCCCACCTTCTTTGTACTGTTTTCAGATAACAGGGATCTGGGTCAAGTCTACAGACCATGATGCAGTGTTCTCATTCTTACCTTTTCTACGCTTCTTTCTTTCTGTAATGGGACCCCAAATAACATATATTCCTGCTGCAAGAGCAGCAGCAATTCCACCTATAACTCCCCAGTTCTTCATGACTTTATATCTAAAAAAGAAAACAAGTTTACTGTCTTCCCTCACACAAACACAAAAGGCAAATATACAGATATAGACAGAATAACATTTTGTCAAAATAACCCACCAAATACCTAATTGCAAGTTAAAGTAACATATAGTCATAGGATTACATCTTGAAAATCAGGATGTTTAGACATTAGGATTTAAAATCTAAGTCAGCTGGGCACGGTGGCTCATCCCTGTAATCCCAGCACTTTGGGAAGTCAAGGCAGGAGGATCCTTTGAACCCCAGAGTTTGAGATCAGCCTGGGCAACATGTGGAAACCCTGTCTCTACTAAAAACACAAAAATTAGCTGGCCGTGGTGATGTGCACCTGTAATCCCAGCTACTCGGGAGGCTGAGGCAGGAGAATCACTTGAATCTGGGAGGCAGAGTTTGCACAGAGCTGAGATCGTGCCATTGCACTCCAGCCCAGGTGACAGAGAAAGACTCAGTCTCATAAAAAACAACAACAACAACAACAACAACAACAAAAACTAAGTCAAATCATCACATTCCAAAGGCTACTTCTCACTCTGAGGAAAAACTGAAGTTATTTTCCTTTTCTGCCTCTCACTCCACTTCCACATGGAACGTTACCAGCCAATGCTCTGACCTCAAGGCGTTTGCACTGCTGTTCCCTCTGCTCAGAATGCTCTTCCCCCAGATCACTGCTTGGCTCACTCCTTTACCTCCCTTCGCTTCTCAAGAGGCCTACCTGAACATATCAGTGGGACCTGTCCTTGTCCCCTTGACATGTTTCTACTTTTTCTTTTTACCATAGAACTTAACCACCTTCTAACATAAAATTAACCTATTCGCTATGTTTTTTTTCTTTTCTTTTTTTTTTTTTTAATGCACTGGGTTTGTTGTCTGTCTCCCTCAACTGGCATGTGCTTTGTTTTACCCACTAATGAGCTCAAGTGTCTAGATCATACTTAGCACATAGTAGGTTCTCAATAATATTTATTGAGGCCAGGTGTGATGGCTCATGCCTGTAATCCCAGCACTTTGGGAGGCCGAGGTGGGCGGATCACCTGAGGTCAGTGGGAGACCAGCCTGGCCAACACGGTGAAACCCTGTCTCTACTAAAAATACAAAAATTAGCTGGGTGTGGTGGCAGGTGCCTGTAATCCCAGCTACTCTGGAGGCCGAGGCAGAATGGCTTGAGTCCAAGAGGCGGAGGTTACAGTGAGCCCAGATTGCGCCACTGCACTCCAGCCTGGGTGACTGAGCGAGACTCTGCCTCAAAAAAAAAAAAAAAAAAAATATATATATATATATATATATGTATATATATGTGTGTGTGTATATATATATAAAATATTTATTGAATGACTGAATACTGGAGAAAATATACAGAAATGAATTTCTCTTTTAGAATATTAGACAGGGAAGGGGCACACATACAATGGTATAAAAGAGCTGAATATTTATAAAATTAAAGATTTCCTAACTTCAGGCTTGACTTGAACGCTGGTTATGCTTTTGCTACATATTAAGAAATTTCCCCAACAATTTAAAACATTGTTTTTATACAAAGTTATATATTTCTACAAAATAAGACAAACCATCTATGTGTATATAGCTATGTAATGTGTATCTGCATATATGTTACACATGCATACATACGTGTTTGTGTGTGTGTGTGTGTAATACATTATTATCCCAGTATTTGGATCATGTGAATATTGTTTTGATTTCAGTTCAGTAAACATTAACTTGGTGAAGAGTCACTGGTGGTAATATTGACCCTGTTTTATAATAATCAGCATTTCTTAGTATCATAGCTGATAGCTGAATTTCAGATAAATATTTGTTTTCCAAGACAGAGTCAACAGAATATGCACCAAACTTGGTTAAGAAAGTGGGATTACCTTATTCTGGTTCAATCCTGGCTTTGCTATTTCATTTGGCATCACTTCACCTTCTAAGCCTCAGTTTCCTCATCTGTACAATGGGGACAATCCATAAGACCTACCTCATAGGGCTGTTGTGAGGATTAAATAAGTGTGAATGCATACAGTACATAGTAAGAACTTAATAAATGTTAGCTGCTACAAATTAAGCATTACAATCTCAGGATCATTCATGAAAGCTATTCTTTCTTTTTTTCTTATTTTTATTTTTATTTTTTTTTGAGACAGTGTCTTGCTCTAGTTGCTCTAGTGCCCAGGCTGGAGTGCAGTGGTGCCATCTCAGCTCAACACAATCTTCACCTTCCGGGCTCAGGTGATCCTCCTGCCTCAGCCTCCCAAGTAGCTGGGACCACAGCTGCACACCACATGCCCAGGTAATTTTTAAATTTTTTTGTAGAGACAGGGTCTCACTACATTGCCCAGGCTGGTCTCGAACTCCTGAGCTCAAGAAATCCACCTGCCTCAGCCTTCCAAAGAGCTGGGATTACAGGTGTGAGCCACCATGCCCAGCTGGTGAAAGGTATTCTTGAAGTTTCTTAATACATCACTGTGCTTTTACACGATACGTGAGTTCACAAAAGTGCCTGGAAAGATTATAAAGGACTGTCATGGAAGTGCTAAGGTGCTTTACCAGTGCTTTAAAATCCCCTAATCAAACACTAATATTTAAGGGTACATACTCTCTGCCAGGCCCTGTGACAATCTTACCTCATTTTTAAAACAACCCCACAGATGCAGGTTCTACTATCACTTTCATTTTTATAGCAGAAGAAACTAAGAGCCCAACTTGGTCACAGTGAGTGAAGGAACATGGCTCTGAATCATGCCTGTCTGTCTCCCCAGGTCTGTGCTTAAAACCACGAAGTTCAAGATGGAAACTGAAGGGAAGAGTGTCAAGGGGATGGGAGAGAGGACTTGTCCATGACTTTGGCAGCATAAGGAAAAAATACCCAGGGACAAGTGGCGACTTTGGAAACTCCATTCCTCTGCAAAATGACATCACGAGGAGAGTGGTGGGGCCTGCGGATGAAAAGATCTGGCTTCTCCTCCCAACTCTGCTATGAGGTCAGCTATGGGGCCACACTTCCTATCTACGGAATGGGGGCACTGGACAGGATAAGTATCGAGGACTTTCAGCCCTGGGATAATAAGCTCTTTAAACCTGCTCCAGTTCCAGAGGAAGCCGACCTGAGCAACAGGTCTCAGTCATTTGGGGTCAGCAGTGGGGGAGGGGGTACTCAGTTCTGAAGCCTGGAGCCCTTGGGAGGGTGAATAAGAGGGAAATGGGGGCCCTGACAGGATTGGGGACCCAGGCAATCGAGGAGTCCTAACAAGAACGGAGGGCTTTAACAGGACCAAGCAACCTTAACAGGTTAAAGGGGCCCTGACCAATTTAGAGACCCTTGCAAAACAAGGGCCTTTACTCACACTAACAACATCAGGGACCCAGACAGAAGTGGCGATCCATATTAGACTAGAGGGCGGGCTAACAGGAATAGGGGGCGGTACTAACAAAACGCGGGGCTCGCAGGCCCGGGGCACTTATAGGACTAGAAGAACCGTGCCAAGGTTGGGGAACCCTGGCAGTCCAGAAACTGATATGATTGGGGGACCCAGAAGGACTGGGGGTATACTAGAAGGATTGAGGGGTCTTGGCAGGCCTAGGAGGCACTGAAAGGACTGAGGGCACTGACAGAATTAGGGGCCTTGACAAGACTGGAGTGCCCCGGGTGTCCTGGGAACAATGACAGGAGGGGGAGGGACTGACAGACCTGGGGAGTGCAGACAGAATTGGTGTTGCCGAAGGACTGGAGCCCGTCAGTCCTCCCACCTACGGGCCCAGGCCTCCAACCCTAAAGGACGCAGAACCTTCCAGAATGCCCGCGCGGGCCCTGGAGACCCCAACTAGGGCATGAAAAAGCCGTCACGGGCCCAAGCTGGGGACCCTGGTCCCGGCCTCTTCGGCAGCCCCGCCCCCCAAAATCTCACCTGACGGCCGCCCCGGTCCGCAGGAAGCGCTGGATGGCCCTGTCGGCCGCGGTCATCGCCGCCTCGGCCCGGGAGCTCAGCATTGCAGCCGCACCGGAGGCCTGAAACCGTCTCCTCCGCTACCGCCGCCGCCGCCGCCGGACCGAGGGATACGACGGTTCCCGAGACAGCGGAACCTGCGGCCGCAGTCCCAGCACCTCGGGGGAACGTAGACCGCAGGACAGCTCCCAGGGGGACCGGAAGTAGCTGCCCCCGGAGAGCAATAGCTGACGGACCACGTCCTTTCTTTCTTTTCCCTTAGCAACAGGCCCCGGCGTCGGTTGCTACGCTGGGCTCAGTTGCCTGGGGCTGCTTGGTTTTCAGATTTGCTTAGGCTCCATTCATAAATACAGATGGCACACTTCTAGGATGGACCCTGGGTCATGATTTGAATTTTTCGATGTGGGGAAGGGAGGCCAACAGCCGAAAGTCGGGTCAGGCCTCTGCTATAATTAGTTATTATTGTGGCCAGAGTGGAAATAGGTCGCAGAGGAAGGAACTTTAATGAGCATGAGGCCCATCTCTGACGATATCAGTAGAGAAATCAACGTCTTTAATAGCCAACAAACTTATTGTTTACTTGGGTGCCAGGTATAGAGCTAAGTATGTTACATTCATTATTTACATTTAATATTCACACCAACTCTAACATTACCCACATTTTACATCCCAGGGAACCCAGGAAATTTGAAGAAATAGTAAGTTTTTTGACGCAGCTTGTAAGTGGTGAAACAGAGATTGGCAGTTCGGTCTGTCTGTCTCCAGAATGGCACTCTCCAACAGAAATATACAGGAGCCACATAGGTAATTTTACATTTTCCAGTAGCCACATTAAAGTGAAAAGCAGGAGGTAGGCCAGACGCCGTGGCTCACGCCTGTAATCCCAGCACTTTGGGAGAACGAGGCTGGTGGATCACCTGAGGTCAAGAGTTCGAGACCAGCTTGGCCAACATGGTGAAACCCCATCTCTACTAAAAATACAAAAATTAGCCGGGCGTGGTGGCAGGCTCCTGTAATTCCAGCTACTCAGGAGGCTGAGGCAGGAGAATTGCTTGAACCGTGGTGGTGGAGGTTGCACTGAGCCAAGATCATGCCACTGCATTCCAGCCTGGGTGACAGAACCAGACTCCATCTCAAAAAAAAAAAAAAAGAGGTCAGGTGCGATGGCTCATACTTGTAATCCCAGCACTTTGGGAGGCCGGGGGGTGGGGGTGGGGGGCACGGATTGCTTGAGGTCAGGAGTTCGAGACCAGCATGGCCAATATGGTGAAACCCCGTCTCTACTAAAAAATACAAAAATCAGCCAGGTGTGGTGGCGCGTGCCTGTAATCCCAGCTACTCGGGAGGCTGAGGCGGGAGAATCGCTAGAACCTGGGAGGCGGAGGCTGCAGTGAGCTGAGATCACACCACTGCACTCCAGCCTGGGCAACAGAGAGAGATTCAGCATCAAAAAAAAAAAAAAAAAAAAAAAAAGCAAGAGGTAAAATTAATTTTAACCATATTTTTTCCTTGACCCAATATGTTCAAAATATTGGGGCAGGTGCAGTGGCTTATGCCTATAATCCCAGCACTTTGGGAGGCCAGGTGAGAGGATGGCTTCAGGCCCAGAGTCCAAGGCCACCTGGGCAACATAGCAAGAACCCATGGCTACCGAAAAACAAAGAAAAGAAAAACAAAATATGTCATTTCTATGTGAAAATTATTGATGAGATAATTTACATTCTTTTTTTTTTGAGATGGAGTCTTGCTCTGCCGCCCAGGCTGCAGTGCAATGGCACGATCTCGCCTCTCAGGTTCAAGCGATTATCCTGCCTCAGCCTCCTGAGTAGCTGGGATTACAGGTGCACACCACCACGCCCGGCTAATTTTTTTGTATTTTTAGTAGAGACGGGGTTTCACCATGTTGGTCAGGCTGCTTGAACTCCTGACCTCGTGATCCATCCGCCTCGGGCTCCCAAAGTGTTGGGATTACAGGTGTGAGCCACCGCGCCCGGCCCATTATTTTTTTGTTTTTTGGTACTAAGTACCTCTCAGTTTGGAGTACCCACTTTTCATGTGCTCAATAGCCCCAAGTGGCCAGCAGCTACCGTATTGGACAGCACAGTTTATAAAGCATTAGAGCCAGCAAGATTTTTCCCTCCCTTTCAATCGCTTTCTCCGACTCCAGACTGAGTAATTGCATTCATGCTGGGGGTGGTGTCGCATACCTGTAGCCCCAACTACAGAAACAAAACAAAAGAAATCAATGCATTAGATCAGTAGTTCTCAAAGTTTTTGTTCTCCGGATCTCTTTGTACGCTTAAAAAGGATTGAGGGATTTTGTTTATATCTAACTGTACTCTGTTAGAAATTAAAATTGAGAATTTTTGTTTCCTTAAAATTGAGGTATATAGGTATATCTTGTTTTTTTGTTGTTGTTGTTTGTTTTTGAGATGGAGGCTCGCTCTGTGGCCCAGGCTGGAGTGCAGTGGCGTGATCTCAGCTCACTGCAAGCTCCGCCTCCCGGGTTCAAGTGATTCTCCTGTCTCAGCCTCCCGAGTAGCTGGGACTACAGGCTCCCGCCACCACGCCCAGTTAATTTTTGTATTTTTAGTAGAGACAGGGTTTCACCATATTGGCCAGGCTGCTCTTGAACTCCTGACCTTGTGATCCACCCACCTTGGCCTCCCAAAGTTCTGGGATTACAGGTGTGAGCCACCGTGCCCCGCCCGGCATATCTTGTTTTATTGCACTTCACTTTATTGTGCTTCGAAGATACTGCATTTTTACAAGTTCAAGGTTTGTGGCTACCTGACTACAGCAAGTCTATTGGCACCATTTTCAACAGCATGTGCTCACTTCGTGTCTCTGTACCACATCCTGGTAATTCTTGTAATATTTCAAACTTTTTTTTTTCTTTTCTTTTTTGCAATAATGCCTCACTCTGTCATGCAGGCTGGAGTGCAGTGGCGCAATCTTGGCTCACTGCAACCTCCACCTCCTGGGGTTCAAGCGATTTTCGTGCCTCAGCCACCCAAATAGCTGGAATTACAGGCACGCGCCACCATGCCTGGCTAATTTTAGCGTTTTTAGTAGAGATGGGGTTCCACTGTGTTGGCCAGGCTGGTTTCGAACTCCTGACCTCAGGAGATATGCTTGCCCTGGCCTCCCAAAGTGCTGGGATTACAGGCGTGAGCCACCGTGCCTGGTCCCAAAGTTTTTCATTATTATTACACCTATTAAGGTGATCTGTGATCAGTGATCCTTAATGTTACTATTGTAATTGTTTTGGGGTGCCACAAACAGCATTCAGGTAAACCAGCCAACTTAATCGGTATTGTGTATGTTCCAAGTGCTCCACTGACTGGCTGTTCCCCCCTCTCTCTCACTCTTCTCAGGTCTCCCTAGCCTGTAAGACACAACAATATTGAATTTCAGTCCACGCCTCTAAATGTTCGAGGGATAGGAAGAGTCGCACATCTCTCACTTTAAATCAAAAGCTAGAAATGATTAAGCTCAGTGAGGAAGGTGTGTCAAAAGTCAGGATAGGCTGAAAGCAAGACTTCTTGCACCAAACATTTAGTCAAGTTGTGAATTCAAAGGAAAATTTCCTGAAGGAAATTAAAAGTGCTACTCCAGTGAGCAGAATGTAAACTAAAAATCCTAAGCCCCGCCAACTGACTGAATGGGCCCCCTCTTGGCCAAGGGGACCTTCAAGAAACCTTAAACACTGAGTTCCCAGCCATAATGAGATGAGAGGTCAGACATGCCTCCTTATACCCTCTTCCTTAGAAGTTTAGACACAACAGCTGACCAGCCTTAATGTTGAAACAGTGATCATAAGACAGACAGAATGGACTGTTTGTGGCAATAAGATACCAAATTATAAACAGGATCTAAGGTCATGCCAAGCAAGGATTGCGTTACACACCCCTGCACTTAAAGAATAAACTGTTTTACATCCGGTTTTTCTTTTTCTTTCTTTTTTTGTTTTTTTTTTTTTTGAGACAGAGTCTCACTCTGTTGCCCAGGCTGGAGTGCAGTAGGGCGATCTTGGCTCACTACAACCTCCACCTCCCAGGTTCAAGCCATTCTCCTGCCTTAGCCTCCTGAGTAGCTGGGACTTCAGGTGCGTGCCACCACGCCTGGCTAATTTTTGTATTTTTAGTAGAGATGGGGTTTCGCCATGTTGGCCAGGCTGGTCTCGAACTCCTGACCTCAGGTGAATCAAGATACGGAATCACCACTGCCCACAAGTGACCCCCTGGCCCTTGGTACTCACCCCCCTCCACCCCCCTTCAACCCCTGGCAATCACTGATGGAAACAGAAATATTTAAAACCCAACAATACTGAAGCAGGCCAGGCGCGATGGCTCACACCTATAATCCCGGCACTTTGGGTGACTGAGGGTGAGTGGACCCCTTGAACCCAGGAGTCTGAGACGAGTCTGGGCAACATGGTGAAACCCTGTCTCTACAAAAATACAAAATTTAGCTGGGTTTGGTGGCACACACCTCTAGTCCCAGCTACTTGGGAGGCTGAGGTGGGAGGATTGCTTGAGCCCAGGAGTTAGAGGTTGCAGTGAGCCATGATTGTGCCACTGCACTCCACCACACAGCCTGGCCAACAGAGCAAGACCATGTCTCAAAAAAAAAAAAAAAAAAGTAGGCATTCTATTAGACGTCAGACCCATGATCACATCACTCATTGTACGGCCTCTGGAAAACTCCGAGATACACTGGTGAGTGAATGGGAATGGGAAGGGCTTAGTATTATTATGAAAAATTCTGACCCAGTGAACCTCCTAAAAGGGTCTTGAGCACCCTTAGGGAGCCTGCAGACTGCACTTTGAGAACCACCACTTTAGCTGGCTGGGTGAATACTAAAATTAGTCTAGCTAATTTTTTGTATTTTTTGTAGAGGCAGAGGGTTTCACCATGTTGCCCAGACTGGTCTCGAACTCCTGGGCTCAAGTGATCCACCCACCTTGGCCTCCCAAAGTACCCTCTCTTTAAATGCCACACTTACCCAACACACTCTGAGTAAGTCACTAGAGGAGAGGGCTGGCCCAGAGGATGGACCCTAGTTTGCAACACTTCAAATATGCAGAGCTTGCTTCCTTTTGTCCTCAGCGCTGGGTCTTAGTGTCCGGTCTGGAAAAACAAGATGCTTTCACATGAACATGTATAATGTATTTGTGTTTGTCCACAGGTAGAAAGAATAAACACAGAAAGATTCAAACACTCACAAGATTTCTGTTTATTTTTTCCTCATGCGGTTGTTTTGGGGGCCAAAACAAAACAATAATAAATGTCTCAAAATCATTTAAATTCCACCTCACACAGCATGTCAGAACTGTTTGTTGTAGCTCTTGTTTTTTCCCATTGATCCGCTGACCATGGTCTCAATTATGTTGGCAGCACATTCTTAGCACTGATTCACCCTTCTCCCCAGACAAGTTTGTGGGTTGACCTCAAGGCCAGAAGAGGATGAAGTGTAGGGTAAACATCGTCTCTTAGGTGAATAAATGTTGAATGAACATAAGAAGGGTTTCCTCGGTTAAAAAAAAAAAATGCATCCACCTCTGTTGTTCACACTAAACCCGTTGGAGGAGTAAAAGGTGGTTTTACTAAGAATTATGCTGGGACCACAGGTGTTGAACTGAGACTGTCTCCAAATACGTGGTCACCCTAGTCAATGAAATAAAAAATCTTTGGTTTGAGGTCTGGATCAAAACTTCCAGCTGGCCGGGCGCAGTGGCTCAACCCCTGTAATCCCACCACTTTGGGAGGCCCAGGCGGGTGGATCACCTGAGGTCAGGAGTTCGAGACCAGCCTGGCCAACATGGTGAAACCCCGTCTCTACTAAAAATACAAAAATTAGCTGGGCATGATGGCGCACACCTGTAATCCTAGCTACTCGGGAGGCTGAGGTGGGAGGATTGCTTGAACCTGGGAGGTGGAGGTGGCAGTGAGCCAAGATCGCACTACTGCACTCCAGCCTGGGCGACAAAGTGAGACTCCATTTCAACAACAACAACAGCAGCAACAACAACAAAACAGACCTTCCAGCTGGCTGGCTATGTGATCCTAGGCAATTCATCTTTTTCCCTGGGTGTGATGGTTAAGTTTAATTGTCAACTTTGGCTAGGCCAAAGTGGCCAGATAGTTGGTCAGACATTAGTCTGGATGTTTCTGTGAGATGGTTTTTGGATGAGATTAACATTTAAATTGGTGGACTTTTGAGTAAAATAGCTTGCCCTCCAAATAGTGGGTGGGCCTCATCCAATTAATTGAAGGCCTGAAGAGGAAGAAAAAAAAAAAAAGACTGGGCTGGGTGCAATGGCTCACGCCCGTAATCCCAGCACTGTGGGAGGCTGAGGTGGGCAGATCACGAGGTCAGGAGATCGAGACCATCCTGGCCAACATGGTGAAACGCTGTCTCTACTAAAATACAAAATAATAATAATAAAAATTAGCCAGGTGTGGTGGCATGTGCCTGTAGTCCCAGGTACTAGGGAGGCTGAGGCAGGGGAATCACTTAAACCCGGGGGGGCGGAGGTTCCAGTGAGCCAAGATCGCGCCACTGCACTCCAGCCTAGCAACAGAGTGAGACTCCATCTAAAAAAAAAAAAAAAAAAAAAAAAAAAAGACTGACTTCCCCCAAGCAAGAGGGAAGAATAAGAGGGAATTCTGCTTGCAGACTGCCTGAATTGCAACACTGGCTTTTTCCATAGGTCTCCAGCTTTCTGGCACACTCTATAGATTTTGGACTTGCTAGCTTCCACAACTGTGTGAGCCAATTCTTTAAGGCTCACTCCTATATCTATATCTATGTCTACATGTATAGCTATGTCTAGTTCTACGTCTATGTGTCTATGTCTGTATCTATATGATCTATACGTGTGCATACACACACATACACACGCGTTCTATTGATTCTGTTTCTCTGGAGAACCCTGACTGGTACAATGGGGTCACAGTTTCCTCACCTGAAACATACTGATTGCAACCACCTGCCAAAACTTGTTACCGACAAGACCCCATGCTAGGTACCTACATGCACTGCCCTGTTTCATCCTCCCAACAGCCCCTCCTAGTGGGTTCTATTAAAATCCCATTTCATAGAAGAGGAA
The DNA here is from genome assembly GCF_000001405.40 of Homo sapiens. Classification (NCBI taxonomy): domain Eukaryota; kingdom Metazoa; phylum Chordata; class Mammalia; order Primates; family Hominidae; genus Homo; species Homo sapiens. Next base: position 109,045,607 of record NC_000012.12, on the reverse strand, counting down.
GCTAAAGCCCGGAGAAGTGAATTGACTTGGCCAAGGTCATACTGTGGGTTTGTGACCAGACAGTATGGCAGGCGGGTCTGTGTGATTCTAAGGCCTGTGTCTTAAGCTGGACAATTCTGCCTCCGACCTGAGCCCTCAGGCTGGGACCATCACCCCCCACCCCCACTGTGATCTGCACCCCACATTTCTGTTGGTTTCAAGACACTGCCTGGGCATATGGAGCAACCCAGCCCTGATTTTAGCTGGGATCTCATTAACACCTGAGAATGGGCTAAAGAGAGGATAGGAAATGGAACATAAGTACCTCTTATCCCTTTGGAAAGATGTTTGGGCGGGCGCAGTGGCTCACGCCTGTAATCCCAGCACTTTGGGAGGCCGAGGCGGGTGGATCACCCGAGGTCAGGAATTCAAGACCAGCCTGGCCAACATGGTGAAACCCCGTCTCTACTAAAAATACAAAAATTAGCCAGGCATGGTAGTACATGCCTATAATCCCAGCTACTCAGGAGGCTGAGTCAGGAGAATCGCTTAGAACCCGGGAGGCGGAGGTTGCAGTGAGCAGAGATTGCGCCACTGCACTCTAGCCTGGGTAACAGAAAAAAAAAAAAAAAAAAAAAAAGATGTTTGACCTTACTTGGTAATGAAAAGAATGCAGATTAAAACTATAATCAGAAAACATTTTTTCCCCCATCAGATTAATAAAGCATGAAAAAGTGTGATAACATAATGATGATGGTATATGGGTAAACAGGAAAACTTGGGTATCTCTGTGAGAGGTATAGGTAGAGCAATTTGGATGTTTATCAGAATTACAAATCTGCATACTCAGTGACAAAGTATCACATATGTAGAAGAATAAACATATTTATTACAGCATTTGAGAGGATTTTTCCATTTTTTTTTATTGTGGCAAAGTACATATAACATAAAATTTGTCATCTTAATCATTCTTTTTTTTATTTTTATTTTTAGAGAAAGAGTCTCACTCTGTTGCCCAGGCTGGAGTGCAGTGGCATTATCACAGCTCACTGCAGCCTTGAACTCCAGAGCTCAGATGATCCTTCCACCCTAGCCTCGCGAGTAGCTAGGACTACAGACACGAGCCTTTGTGCCTGGCTGATTTTTCTTTTTTTGTAGAGATGGGGTCTCACTATGTTGCCCAGGCTGGTGTCAAACTCCTGGCCTCACACAATCCTCCCACCTCAGCCTCCCAAACTGCTCAGATCGCAGGCGTGAGCCACCATGTCTGGACAACCATTCTTAAGTGTGCAGTTCAGTGGTATTGAAAGACATTCATAATGTTGTGTAACCATCACCACCATCCATCTCCAGAACTCTCCATCTGCAAAACTAAAATTCTGTACCTGTTAAACAGTAACTCCTCATTCTACACGCTCCTCAGTTCCTAGCAACCACTATTCTACATTTTGTCTCTATTTATTCAACTACTCTAAGTATCTCACATAAGTGGAATCATACAGTAATTTGTCTTTTTGTGTCTGGCTTACTTCACTTAGCATAATGTCCTCAAGGTTCATTTATGGTGTGGCATATTGCAGAATTTCCTTCCTTTTTAAGGCTGAACACTATTCCTCATTGTATACCACATTCTGCTTATCCACTCTTTTGTTGATGGACACGGGTTGCTACCTATGTTTTAGCTATTGTGAATAATGTTGTTATGAACATGGGTATATACAAATATCTCTTCAAGATCCTGCTTTCAATGCATTTGGATATGTACCCAACCTGAAATTGCTGGATATTAATTTCTTATCAGATATAAAATTTTTCAAAGATATCCTCCTATTCTGTGGGTTGCTTTCTTACTCTTGATAGTGTCTTTTGATGCGCAAAAGTTTTAAATTTTCATGAAGTCCAATTTGCCAATTTTTTGTTGTTGTTGCCTGTGTCTTTGGTGTCATATCCAAGAAATCACTGCCAAATCCAATGTCACAAAGGTTTTGCCCTATATTATTTTCCAAGAGTTTTATCATTTTAGGTCTTGCATTTTGGTATTTACCCATTTTGAATTAACTTTTGTATGTGTTGTTAGGTAAGGGGCAACTTCATTCTTTTGCACATAGATATCCAGTTTTCCCAGAACTATTTGATGAAGACTGTCCTTTTCCCATTCAATCGTATTGGTACTCTTGTCAAAAGTCATTTTGACCATATACCAGAGAGTTTGTATTTGGGCTTCATTGGTCTATATGCCTATCTTATGCCAGTATCATACTGTTTTGATTAGTGTGGCTTTGTAGTAAGTTATGAAATTAGAAAGAGTGAGTCCTTCAGCCTAGCTTGTCTTTCTCAGGTTGTTTTGGCTATTTGGGGTCCCTTGAGAGTCCACACGAATTTAGAATGGGTTTTTCTAGTTCTTCAAAAAGTAAACGGGATTTTGACAGAGATTGTATTTACTCTACAGATCACTTTGGGTAGTATTGACATTTTAACGATATTAATTCTTCCAATCCATGGACTTGGGATGTGTTTCCATTATGTCTTCTTTAATTTCTTTCAGCAATATTTTGTGATTTTCATTGTAAAAGTCTTTCACTTCCTTGGTTAATTCCTAAGTATTTCATTCTTTTTGGTGCTATTGTAAATGAAATAGTTTTTGTCACTTCTTTTTCAGATTATTCATTGTTAGTATCTAGAAATGCAATGGATTCTTGTGTATTGACTTTCTTTGTATCCTGCTACTTTGCTGAATTAATTTATTAGTTCTAACAGCTTTTTTCTGGACTCTTTAAGGTTTTCTGCATATGAAATCATATCATCTGAAAACAATGATAATTTTGCTTCTTTCTTTCTGATTTGGATGCCTTTTATGTCTTTTTCTTGCCTAATTGCTGTGGCTAGAACTTCCAGTACTACGTTAAATAGAAGTTGTGAAAGCAAGCATCCTTATCTTGTTCCTGATTTTAGAGGAAAAGCTTTTAGTCTCTCACCATTGAGTATAATGTTCTGTAACATTGTTTTTAATAATAAGGGATTGGAAGCAATTTAAATATCCAGCAAAATTATTATATACCCACACAGGAGAGTACTATGTAGCTATGAAAACAATGAGCCAGCTCTTTCCGTATTGTTAGGAAAGGTGCTCAGATGTTTTGTTAAGAGAAAATAGGAGGGTGCAGAAAAATGGGCAAAATGCTATCATTTGTGTGAGAGAATAAAAGATTAGGCATTTATAATTGTAGGGATAAATAAGTAACTGGGAGCACACATTGCTTGCCTTTGGGAAAAGAACCGTATGACTGAGGACAGAAAGGAACATCTTTTTGTTCTTAGTGAATTTTGTACCATCTCCATGCAATATTTATTCAAAAAATAATTTTAAACTTGAAAAACATAATGGAAACACAGCATCAAAATTGACATTCCTTTTGGAAAAAAAAAAGCTCATCAGAAGTTTATACAAAGTGAAAAAAGAAGGTCAGCTAATACAATAAATGTGGTCACAATCTCGTATGAAGATACCTATGTGTGGGTGTCCTTGAACAGAAAAATGACTAAAAGGATATGCCTCTTAAGTGGTCACTCTGGGTTATCTCTCTGTGGTAAAATTACTAGTAATTTTAATTTTCTCCTGAATGCTGTTTCATATTATTTGAGTTTCTACAATTTTTTTATAATTAAAAAATAATTTGAGAGATACTCTATAAGTTTGTCTTTCTTTATGCAGTCATTCTGAATTGTCACAATCTTTGTAATTCAAACTATTTTTTTCTGGTTGTGCTTCAATTGACAGAGGGATCCTAAAACCCCACTTCAAAGCTTTTCTTACCTCAGATCTTCACAATAGTAAACTCACAGTTCGACCTTCCAAAGTAGCTCTTCAAGGAATGCCATGATAAATTCTTTAAAAAAATAATTTGCCATGGAATAGGCATCATCTAATTTATATGATTGATAAGTTCATACTTCACATATATTCATTTTCTTTTTCTTTTTTCTTTTTTTTTTTGAAATGGAGTTTCGCTCTGTCACCCAGGCTGGAGTGCAGTGGCACTATCTTGGCTCACTGCAACCTCCACCTACCAGGTTCAAGCGATTCCTCTGCCTCAGCCTCTGGAATAGGTGGGACAACAGGCACGCACCACCATGCCTGGCTAATTTTCATATTTTAAGTAGAGATGGGGTTTCACCACGTTGGCCAGGCTGGTCTCAAACTCCTGAGCTCGTGATCCACCTGCCTCAGCCTCCCAAAGTGCTGGGATTACATGAGTGAGCCACCACACCTGGCCATATTCATTTTCTTAAATCATGAAGCCCCAGCAAGCTTTCAGGAACTTGGATGTGATTAATTGTGCATGTTTCCTCCTATTTGTTGTTAATTTATGGGTTGTTTTCCCCAGCAAGAATTGCATTTGCCTGAAAGTCACCTCATCCTGTTAAAACAGAAATCCCATAAGTCTTCAGCACATTGCTTTGCAAAACATCTAATCTTAAGGAAACAATTGTTTTCTTTCTAATCTGGAAGGTCCTAAACTGAAGAGACTATCAGAGGCCAGCTCAGTTGACTGATGAGGAAACAGAGGACCTGAGAGTTTAAATGAGGGCAGAACTGGAACCAGACACCCCATTTCCTGGTAGAGAATCTGGTTCTTTCTCCACTGCCTCTTCTGAGAATTTTGACCATGTAGGGCAATATGGGAGAAAAGCTGAGTGTGGTAGCCTCAAAGATATGTCCCCAATGATCCCCCATGTTCTGAATTCACATCTCACATTGAAAAAACTATTGTGAGAGTGATGCTATGTGAATTCCAAAGCCAGGTCATAAAATACATTGTTGCTTCCACTTTGCTTTTTCTTGAAACACTTGCTCTGGGAAAAGCCAGTCACCATGTTGTGAAGATGCCCAGGCAGCATTATGGAGAGGTCCATGTGGCAAGGAACTGAGGCCTTCTGCCAACAGCCATTACCAACTTGCCAATCACGTGAGTGCACCATCTTGAAAGTGGATCCTCCAGCCCCAGTCAAGTCTTCAGATGAGACCACAGCCATAGCCAACATCTGGCTACAACCTCATAAAAGGCCCTGAGCAATAGCCAGCCAACTCAGCTGCTCTTGGTGGATTCCTGACTCACAGAAACTGTGTGGGATAACAATTGTTAATTTTTTTAAAGATGCTAAGTTTTGGGGGTAATTTCTTATGCAGCAGTAGAGAACTACTATAGCAGGAGCAATGTTCCTCAAAATGTGGACTTTATACCAACTACCTCAAAATCTCTTGAGCTGCTTGTTAAAAGTGTGGGTTCCAGGCCCCAACACAGTCAAGTGGATCAGAACATAGCAGTGTGATGCCTAAGAATCTGCATTTTGACAAGCTTCCCTAATAGTTTCTCTAATCACTTCCTTAATAGTTAAACTCTAAAGTTTCCCCAAACTTCAGGTATTTTGGTAGCACCCTAAATTTTTTTTTTGTTTGCCATATGTAGACTTTACCTTCACTATTTTATTCATCAACCTGTGGCACATAAATATTTTAAATGTTCTTTATAAAAACTGTTTTCACATGTAGAAAAAAAACAATATTTTTCTAATATATGTGAAAATAAGTATCTACATATGATAATTAAAATGTGATAAATATTTATATCATATATCACCCCAAGTCATCTTGATTACATTCAGAGGTAAACATTCCATCCTTAGTGAAACACTGAGATAGAGAAAGAAAGAAAATGGCTGGCCAGGTGTGGTGGTTCACGCCTGTAATCCCAGCACTTTGGGAGGCCAAGGCAGGCAGATCATGAGGTCAAGAGATCGAGATCATCCTGGCCAACATGGTGAAACCACATCTCTACCAAAAATGCAAAAATTCACTGGGTGTGGTGGCGGGCACCTGTAGTCCCAGCTATTTGGGAGGCTGAGGCAGAAGAATTGCTTGAACCTGGGAGGTGGAGGTTGCAGTGAGCTGAGATCGTGCCACTGAACTACAGCCTGGTGACAGGGTGAGATTCCATCTCAAAAAAAAAAATGGATTCTTATCACTTAGTAATAAGAATAGTTACAGCACCCCACATTTTTTCTCGGGAACTAGATCAGTTCTAAATGCTGGCTTCTGTATCATCTCCTTATATTCTCACTACATTCATGGGCAGCAGATAGGGTAAGATATAATTAGTGCCATTTTACAGATGAGAGCATTGTAGGAACTTTATCTAAGGTCAAATGACTAGAACACAAGCCCTATCTCCTGTCTTCCCACCCAAACCTTTTTGGAAGATATGACATTCCTCTATGGCCAAAATAAACCATAGAGAACTATAGGATAAGACACATAAAAATATAGAAGGTACACTATTGTAAAAGAATGTAACAAGACATGCAAATTAACTTGAAATGAATTATAGATCTACAATTGAAAGTTAAAACTGTAAAACTTTCTGAGGAAAACGGAGAAAAATCTTTGCAACCTTGGGGTAGACAAAGATTTCATAGATAGATCACAAAAAGCACAAACTAGAAAAGAAAAAACTGATACATTGGATCTAATCAAAATTTTAAAATTTTTCTTTTCAAAAAACACTGTTAAGAAAACAAAAAGATAAGCCACAAAATGTTTATAATACATATATCTAACAAAGACTTGTATCCGGAATATGTAAAGAACTCTTGCAATTCAATAAGAAGAAAAACAATTCCCTCTGAACTGGCAAAATATCTGGACAGATACTTCACAATACAGTATATGAGAATGATCAGTAGGCACATGAAAAGATGGTCAACATCACTAGTCATCAGGGATACAAAAATTAACACCATTATATAATACCACCACACACCCATTAGAATGGCTAAAATTAAAGAAATTAATATCACTTGTTGGTGAGGATTTGGAGCAACTGGATATCATACGTTGCTAGCAGGAATGTAAAATAATATACTTTGGAAAACTATTTGGCAGATTCATATAAAGAGAAACATAAACTTACCATAATGATCCAACCATTCCTCTTCTAGGTATTTATTTATCCAAGAGAAAGGGAAATATAAGCCCACACAGACTGTTTGTTGAAACATTGCAGGTAAGTATTTTAATAAATAGCATTCATTGCTGAAGAAATGAATAACAATTGCAGCAAAAAAAAGATAGACTAGCAAAAAGCTTAAAAGGGAAAAAAAGCTTAAAAGGAAAATGTGTGCTATTTACAATAGCAATGACATGGATTCAACCCAAATGCTCATCAATGATAGACTGGATACAGACAATGTGGTACATATACACCATGGAATACTATGCAACCATAAAAATGAATGAGATTATGTCCTTGACAGAGACATGGATGGAGCTGATCCAGGAACAGAAATCAAACACCACATATTTACATGCTTACAATTGGGAGCTGCATGGTGAGAACACATGGAAACTGGCAGGTGGGGAGGGGGGCGGGAACCAACATACACTGGGGCCTTTGGAGGGGTCGGGGGAGGGAGAGCATCAGAAATAACAGCTCATGAATGTTGGGCTAAATACCTAGGTGATAGGTTGATCTGTGCAGCAAACCACCATGGCACACTTACCTATGTAACAAACCTGCATATCCTGCACATGTACCTGGGAACTTAAAATAAAAGTGGAAGAAAAAAAAAGAAAATCTGAGGAATCAGATATTCAGGGGCTTTGAAAAATTCAGATGTAATTCTGAGTATCTAGAAGGACATACACATGTGCAGCACTCTCTACATGCTCAGGGTAAACCTGAGAAGGCCCTAAGTTCTCACATCTGGCTGACCTTGATGTTTGACACAAGCAGGAAGTGAAGCCTAAGGCAGAGTTTTCAGCTGACAGGCTGAGTGTTGAAGGTGTACCCCAACACACACGGCACTCCTTGGCAAAGACTGGAAGATTTACTGGTTCCAGGCAGTTCCAGGCATTTAAGGAAATCTCTATCCAATTATTAGCTGACCACTAAGCTATCTGAGTTTTCAGTGGCCACACCTGTAGGCCACTAACTGAGTTTATGGAATTAGTTCAGAAAAGCCACAAAACAAACAGCAACTACAACAAGCAGCAGCAAAAACAAGCCCTGAGGAGGGAGGAGAATCTGATTTCCAGAGTTGCCATATTATATTATATAAAATGCTCAGCATTCAATAAAAAATAATGACACATGTGAAGAAACAAAAAAAGTAAGGCCTATGCACAGGGGGAAAAACAGTAAAAATTGTGTTTGAGGAAGTCCAGACATTGAACTTATGAAACAAAGACTTTAAATAAGTTTTAAATATGATCAAAGGAATTTAGACATAAAGATCTAAGGGAAAGAATGAGAACAATGTCTCCCCAAATGGAGAATATTAATAAAGAGATAGAGATTATTAAAAGGAATGAAGTAGAAATTCTGAAGTTGAAAAGTAGAATAACTGAAATGAAAAATTCACTAGCGAGCACAACAGCAGATTTGAACAGGTAAGCAAAGTATCAATGAACATGAAGATAGTTCCATTGAGATGAGGAACAGAAGGAAAAATAATTGAAGGAAAATGAACATAGGCTCAGAGACCTGTGGGACTCCATCAGGCATACCAATTTAGGCATAATGGTAATTCCAGAAAGAAAGGAGAAAAACAAAAGGGAAGAAAAAATACCTGAAGAAAAAAAGATGCCAAACTTCCAACATTTTATGGAAAACATTAATCTATACATCAAAGAAGCTCAATGAACTCCAAGAGAATATATTCAAAGAGGTCCACATCTAGACACATTCTATTTAAACAGTAGGAAGCCAAAGACAAAGAGAATTTTGAAAGCAGAGAGAAGCAACCCTCACATAAAAGGTATACTTAATAAGACTGACAGCTAAATTCTCATTAGAAACCTTGGTGGTCCAAAGGTAGTAGAAGGACATATTCAAAGTATTAAAAAAAAACAAAGCTGTCAACAATAATACTATATCTGGCAAAACTATTCTTTAAAAATGAAGGAGGAATTAAGACATTCCCAGATTCTTAAACAAAACAAAAAAACAGAGACTTGTCACTAGCAGACTTGCCCTATAAGAAATACTAAAGGGCACCTGTAATCCCAGCACTTTGGGAGGCCAAGCAGGGTGGATCACCTCAGGTCTGGAGTTTGAGACCTGCCAGGCCAACATGGTGAAACCCCATCTCTATCCAAAATACAAAAATTAGCTGGGCGTGGTTCACACCTGTAATCCCAGCTACTCAGGAGGCTGAGGCAGGAGAATCTCTTGAACCTGGGAGGTGGAGGTTGCAGGGAGCTGAGATCACACCACTGCACTCCAGCCTGGGTGAAAGGGTGAGACTCCCTAAAAAAAAAAAAAAGAAAGAAAGAAATACTAAAAGGAACATTTTGGGCTAAAATGAAAGGGCACTAACAGTAATTCAAACCCACATGGGGAAATAAAGAGCATCCGTAAAGTTGGCTACATAGGTAAACATAAAAGAAAGTATAAATATATACATATTTTTTGAGACAGGATCTCACTCTATCACCCAAGCTTAAGTGCAATGGTGAAACCCTGACTCACTTCAGCCTCAACCTCTTGGTCTCAAGCAATCCTCCCACCTCAGCCTCCCAATTAGCTGGGACTACAGCCATGGGCCACCATGCCCAGCTAATTTTGTTTATTTTTTGCAGAGATGATGTCTCACTATGTTGACCAGGTCTGGAATTCCTGAGCTCAAGCAATTCTCACACCTAGGCCTCCCAAAGTGCTAGGATTACAGACATAAGTCATTGTGCCTGGCCCATGTATTTTTTGTATATAATTTTTTTGTGTATCTGATTTTAAAGACAACCACATAAAGCAATAATTATAAATTTATGCTGATGGGCACACAATGCCTAAAGATGTAATCTTAACAATAACAGCTTAAGGGGAAGTGAGATACATATGGCAATGTTTTTATATACTATTGAAATTAAGTTGGTATTAATCCAAACTAGATTGTTATAAATCAAAATGGTGGCTGGGTGTGGTGGCTCACGCCTGTAATCCCAGCACTTTGGGAGGCCGAGGTGGGCGGATCACTAGGCCAAGAGATCAAGACCATCCTGGCCAACATGGTGAAACCTCATCTCTACTAAAAATACAAAAATTAGCTGGGCATGGTGGCACATGCCTGTAGTCCCAACTACTCAGGAGGCTGAGGCAGGAGAATCGCTTGAACCCGGGAGGCGGAGGTTGCAGTAAGCCGAGATTGTGCCACTGCACTCCAGCCTGGCAATAGAGTGAGACTCCATCTCAAAATAAATAAATAAAATAAAATAAAATAAAATAAATAAACAAATTGAAATGGTAATGGTAATCTCCAGGGCAACTACTAAGAAAATAACTCAAAAATATATAGTGAAAGAAAAGACAAAAGAAATAAAATGGTACACTAGAAAATATATATTGAACACAAAAGAAGACAGTAATGGAGGAGCTGAGGAGCAAAAAAGACATGACATATTGAAAGCAAATAGTAAAATGTAAATCCTACATTATTGGTGATTACATTAATTTTTTACATTAAATTTGAGTGTATTATATTCTACAATTACAAGTCAGAGATTGGCAAAGTGAAAAAAATAATCCAACTATATTCTATCTTCAGGAGTCTCATTTCAGATTCATAGACACAAATAGGTTAAAAGTAAATGGATGGAAAAAGTGGTATCATTCAAACAGCAACCAAAAGCGAGCTGAAGTAATTACACTAATATCAGACAAAATAGACTTTGAGACAAAAATTGTTACTCAAAACCAAAAAATCTTTATAATGATAAAAGAGCCAATTCATTAAGAAGATAAAACAATTGTAATCATACATGCACTTAACAATACAGGCCCAAAATACAATGAAAAAAAAAGGACAGAATTAAAGGGAGAAATAGACAATTTAACAGTAATGGTTGGAGACTTCTATATCCTACTTTCAATAATGGATAGAACAACTAGACAGAAGATCAACAAGGAAATAGCAGACGTGAACAACACTATAAACTGTTTCTAACAGACATCTATGGAGCACATCACCCAACAGCAGCAGAATGCATTTTCTCTCTTTCTTTCTTTTTTAATAGAGATGGGGGTCTCACTATGTTGCCCAGGCTGGTCTTGAACTCATGAGCTCAAGCGATCCTCCCACCTCAGTCTCCCAAAGCGTTGGGATTACAGGCATGAGCCACCACACCTGGCCTACAGAATACACTTTCTTCTCAAGTGGCTTATGAAACATTCCTCAAGATAGACCATATATTAGGCCATAAAATAAGCCTCAAAATTTAAAAGAATTGAAATCATATAAAATATGTTCTCTAACTGCAATGGAATGAAATTAGAAATCAATAACAAACAGGAATTTGGGAAATTTTATAGATATGTGGAAATTAAACAACACATTCCTGAATAGCCAATAGGTAAGAGAAACATTAACAAGGGAAATTAGAAAATTGAGTAAAAATAAAAACACGAGGTACAAGTCACAATATTGTGGAGAGAAGACCACTATTCCTTTGAAAACAACGACTCAGACACGTTGAGCTGTTTTTGTTTGAGAGCTTTTCCTTAGGTCTGGACAGGTTTACCAGCTTCTGAATTACCTCTTCCCCTTGTTTATGTTACGGCCCTCTGGGAACACATTATCTGAGGGATTAGGGTTTTACTAGGAGACTTTTGGAGTTTGTCCTTTGAGCAAGCTACACAGTTTTTCTCTCTGCCCTTTTTGGCCTCCCTAGTTATTGTACTGATTAGACATCTTGTATTTTCATGGAGGGATGAGCTATGTGACCCAGGGACTCCTTAAAGTTGTGCACCTTTACATTATTTAACAAGGGCTTAACCTCTTAACCAAGCCTCACCTCTTTACCAGCTTCTGTGGCAAAGTCAAGAGGTACTTACCTGCTCCCAGCACAGTGCCAGGGATCTGGGAGTGACTCTAGATGGAAGTGCCATCCCATCAGCATGGCTAGCAGACTAGGGACTTTCCATCAATGTTTTATTCCCCCACTTTTTTTTCTTTAAATCATGTGAAATTTGATCATACAAATTTGGTCATTCTTGTCATACCCAACTGAAACAGAGTCAAGAGGCCAGGGAGAAAAAGTACTCAGGGCACATAGCATTGCTCCAAGGCTATATTAATAATTCTCTGCAAGCCTGGCTGCTCAAACTGCCTGCTGTAACCTGAAACCAGTGTTACTAAAACAACCTGCTGTGACTCGAAGACTAATGTTACCCATCCCTGTCACTCACCAGTCAGAATTTGCCAGCTCCTCCAAACTTTACCAGTGCCAATGAACTTTCTTTCAAAATAACATGTAACATTTCTCCATTTTATAAAACCTCCAAACTTCGCTTGTTCTTTATACATACTGAAGACTACCCGGTCTATGGGTATGCCTTGAAGTATAATTCTTCCTTCTCAAATAACATGTTTTAAGTTTAGAGGTTCACCTCTATATTTTATTTGACTCTGACACTCCAACTTAAGTTTCAAAGAAAAAAAGACAAATCCATTTTTTGAATTTAAGTCCATGGGCTTCTTTTTAAAAAATTAAGTGCCATTTTCATAACTGGTAGAATACTGTCTTGATAAGAATAGGATTTAGAACACAGTTGATTGGGGGACTGCTTGTACATAGCACATGCTTTTTATTTTCAGTATTTCAGGCTAAGGGGCAGCTTGTCAGTCTCTATTCCAGTCTCCCTTAAAGTATTCACTTTTGTTTTAAGAATCTGAGGGGGGAAATCATGATGCATTGCTCTGGTGTGAAATAAAACCCATCTGGCTTTTGGCATGCCCCCATTTCCTAGACAGATGGATAATGTGGTGGGCTGGAGGCAGCTGCCTTTAAAGTGTGCAATTTAATAGGGGTTTTTTAAAGTATATTCACAGGGTTGTGCAACTATCACATCTACTTTTAGGACATTTTTGTCCCTTCTAAAAGAGTCGTCATATGTATTAGCAGTCAATCTCCATTTCCCCCTCCACAACCCCATTCCTAAGCAACCACTGATCTACTCTCTGTCTCTATGGATTTGCCTATTCTGGATGTTGCATGTAAATGAAATCACACAATATGTACAACATGTGGCCTTCTATGTCTGGATTGTTTCACCTAACACAATGTTCTTAAGGTTCTTCCATATTACACCATAATCAGTACTGCATTTCTTTTTTATTGACAAATAATATTCCATTGTATGGGTATACCACATTTTGTTTATCCATTCATATCATTTGATAAACATTTGACTTGTTTCCAATTTTTGGCTGTTATGAATAATAATGCTATGAACATTTAAATACAAGTTTTGCATAGAGCATTTATTTTGTTTTTTAGACAGTATCATTCTATCTCCCAGGCTGGAGTGCAGTGGCATGATCTTGGCTCACTGCAACCTCTGCCTCCTGGGCTCAAGCAACCCTCCTGACTCAGCCTCCCAAGTAGCTGGGGTTACAGACACAAGCCACCATGCCCAGGTAATTTTTTTTTTTGTAGAGACGGGTTTCACCATGTTGCCCGTGTTTTTTTTTTTTTTGACAGAGTCTCACTCTGCCACACAGTTTGGAGGGCAGTGGCACAATCATGGCTCACTGTAGCTTTGACTGCCTAGGCTCAAGTGATCCTCCTACCTTAGTCTCCCAAGTAGCTGGGACTACAGATGCACACCATGACACCTGACTAATTAAAAAAAAATGTAGCGATGAGGTCTTGCTATGTTGTCAGGGCTGGTCTCGAACTCCTGAGCTCAAGCAATCCTCCTGCCTTGGCCTCCCAAAGTGCTAGGATTACAAGCCCGAGTAATCACACCTCGTCTCTACCTTCTGTTTCTATGAGTGACTACTTTTGAGACCTCATATAAGGGGAATCATGCAATATTTTTTTGTTGTTACTGGCTTATCTCACTAAGCATAATGTTTTCAAGCCTCATCCATATTGTAGCTTCTATTGGAACGTCATTCATTTGTATGGCTGAATGATATTCCATTGCATGGATAGACCACATTTTGTTTATCCATTCATCTATTGATGGACACATGGGTTGCTTCCACTGTTTGGCTATTGTGAATAATGCTGCTATGAACATTTGTTGTTCACGTTTTTGTTTGAGTCCCTGTTTTTAATTCTTTTTGTATATACCTAGGAGTGGAATTGCCAGATCATAGAGTAATTAATTCTATGTTTAACTTTTAAAGAAACTGTCAGTGGCAAATTTTAAAAGTGCTATACCTCATACAGCTGAATTGGAAGTGAAGATGATGTGCTCTGGAAAAAAACTGAGTTAAGTGAGTAAAAAAGTGGATCCAGCATGACAAAGACAATGCCATTGAGGACACATGTGTAGAGTTTGAATGAAACTGTTCCATAAAAATGATGGACAAAAGTAGCATTTGTAAATGGGTTGTTGTTTTATGTAATATGCCATTTCCAATGCGTGTAGTCACATTAATAAATTAAAATTTTAAATAGACATTGAACATGTTTATCTAGTTCTATAAAATATACTATATTAAGATGGCTCAAAAGTATGTTTTTTTTTAGTTTTTTAAATTAAACTTTTTATTTTGGAATAATTTTGGATTTACAGGAGAGTTGTAAAGACAGAACAGAAGGTTCTGGTATACCCTTTGCTCAGCATCCCCTGATTTTAAAAATACTGTATATATTTAAGATGTACAACTTGATGATTTGATATATGTGTACATTGTAAAAGAATCACAATCGGCCTGGCACGGTGGCTCACGCCTGTAATCCCAGCACTTAGGGAGGCCGAGGCAGGTGGATCATGAGGTCAGGAGTTCAAGACCAGCCTGGCCAAGATGGTGAAACCCTCTCTCTACTAAAAATACAAAAATTGGCCAGGCGTGGTGGCAGGTGTCTGTAATCCCAGTTAGTCGGGGGACTTAGGCAGAGAATTGCTTGAACCTGGGAGGCAGAGGTTGCAGTGAGCCAAGATAGCGCCACTGCACTCCAGCCTGGCGACAGAGTGAGACTCCGTCTCAAAAAACAAACAAACAAACAAGCAACCTACCTTTTTGTGTGTGTGTCTGGTGAAAACACTTAGAATCTACCCTTTTAAGAAATTTCAAGTATCGTTACCTATAGTCACCATGCTGTACGTTAGATCTCCAGAATTTATTCATCTTGTATAAATGAAAGAAACTTTGTACACCTTGATCAAACATCTCCCTATATCCCCTTTCTTTCAAAAACTTGTTTTAAGATCTTGTATTAGGATCTTGCTTATAGTGGGAGTTTGACATATATTTGTTTCATACAATCATTTGCCATGCACATGAATATCCATCATCTTGTTTAATCCACACAATAGACCTGCAGGTTGGTATCTGTCTCTATTTTACAGATGATGCAACTGAGACTCAAAGAGGGAAAATAATCTGTCTACCATCACACAGGTAGTAAGTCACAGAGCTGAGTGTGTCTGACTCCAAAGCTGGTGCCCAGTACACAATGATTGACAGCTGGGCAGGGCGACAGGATTTTTGTAGGTGTGGGAAAGGTATAAAGTAGGTTCCCTGCCTTAATCTTACAGCGTAACTTGCAGGAAGAAGGTGAACATGTATTCAGTGGCAGAAAATATAGTTCAACACGTATTTCAATAATGATTACTGGAAATAAACTATTTGCTTGTTTAAGAATGTAGAGTGTTGTACAGATGGGAGAGGAGGGATTATGGGAGGGCTGGAGAACTCGGGGAACTTTCTCAGAGGCCTTAACAGATAGGGTACCATTAATGTTAATCAAAGGTTGCCCCTCTCACCCTACCTTCTAGGAACCGGCCCTACCCATAGCCCTGCCTTCTCAGCAGCTGTGTTCTCTGTTATGGACTGCCATATGCCCTGTCTGACAGAGTAGGAGCACCGTCATCTTGGATAAACACTGCCACTTTGTTCCAGGTCCCTTTCTAACCTCATGCATTTCAAGGAAATCACTTCTCTTCTAACAGTAAGCAGCCAGAAAGAGCAGACAGTAAAACACAGATAAGATAGCTCAGGCACGGAGGGAGGGTGGAAAGTCTCTTGGGTAACCACCAAACTTCACACTCATACAATGGGCCCTAGTAAAACAGTGTGCCCTAATAAGTACATTCCTTTCCCTTTAGGTGCACTAAGATAGGGAAGCTAAATGCACACTCAGGGGATATGCCTGTAGTGTCAGAGAGATGTATGGAAACAGACACAAAACTCTCCCTCCCAGATAAGCAAGACAGAGACACAGAAACATTCCAAGCCTGTGATAAGCTCTCCTGCCCTGAACCCTTAAAAACTTTTAGTCTGTCAGAGAGAGTGCCTCTGACCTAACTCGGCCAGAAGCCCCTCTCAGGTTTATTCTCCAAAATAAACTTGTCTTTGACAGTTGAACCACTTTTCATGTTTCTTTCCTCTTTCTTTAATTCTTACACTGACCGCAGGTCCAGAGCTAGACATCTGGACCAAGCTGCAGCCAGTATCTTTCTGTGAGAACTCTCCATGATCTATATAAACTGGCTTAAAAAGATGTACTGTGGCAATCAGAAGCTTCTCTTAGAAGGTAGGAAACTTGACATGATTCATAGCTGAGCTGAGCAGGAGTTGTAAAGATGCCCTGTAATTGGGTAAGGACCACAACAAGCCAACATTTTAATTATACATCAATATTTTCAAATCTCAAGGACATTTGATATGGTTTGAATATTTGTCCCCTCCAGATCTCATGTTAAAATGTAATCTCCAGTGTTGGAGGTGGAGCCTAGTGGGAGGTGTTTGGATCATGCGGGTGGATCCTTCATGAATGGCTTAGCACCATTGCTGTGGTGATGAGTAAGTTCACAAGACATCTGATTGTTTAAAAGTGTGTGGTAGTCGGGTGTGGTGGCTCATGCCTGTGATCCCAGCACTTTGGGAGGCTGAGGGGGGTGGATCACCTGAGGTCAGGAGTTTGAGACCAGCCTGGTCAACATGGTGAAACCCCTCTCTACTAAAATTACAAAAATTAGCCAGGCGTGTTGGCACACGCCTGTAATCTCAGCTACTCAGAAGGCTGAGGCAGGATAATTGCCTGAACCTGGTAGGTGGAGGTTGCAGTGAGCTGAGACCACACCATTGCACTCCAGTCTGGGCGACAAGAGGGAAACTACATCTCAAAACAAAAACAACAACAACAACAAAAAAACAGAAAAAAAAAAGGGTGTGGCACCTCCCCTCTCTCTGTCTTGCTCCCCTTCACCTTCCATCATGACTCTAAGCTTCCTGAGGCCCTCACCAGAAGCAGATGCCAGCGCCATGCTTCCTGTACAGCCTGCAGACTGTGAGTCAATTAAATCTCTTTTCTTTATAAATTACCCAGTGTCAGGTATTCCTTTACAGCAATACAAAAATGGCCTAATAGAATATTCCTGCAACTCAACAGCAAAAATCCCCGAACAATTCAATTAAAAAATGAGTGAGGGGCTTGCATAGACATTTCCTCAAGGAAGATATGCCAGTGGCCAATAAGCACATGAAAAGATGCTCAACATTGTTAGTTATTAGGGAAATGCAAATCAGACCACTCCACACCCACTGGGATGGCTATTATCAACAAGTGTTGAGGAGAATGTGCAGAAATTGGAATCCTTGTGCATTGCTGGTGGGAATGTAAAATGGTACAGCTGCTGTAGAAAACAGCTTGGCAGTTCCTCAAAAACTTAAACATAGTTACCATATGACTCAGCAACTCTTCTCCTATTTATATACTCATAAGAATTGAAAACAGGGACTCAAAGGGATACACTGTAGACCAATGTTTATAGCAGCATTCTTCACAATAGCCAAAAAGGTGGAAACAACCCACGTGTCCATCAACAGATGAATGGATTAACAAAATGTGCCATATACCTACAAAGAAATATTATTCAGTCATATAAAAGAATGAGGTTCTGATAGATGCTACAGCACAGATGAACCTTGAAAACATTATGTTAAGTGAAATAAGCCACATAAAAAGGACAAATATTGTATGATTCCACTCTTATCAGGTAACTAGAGTAGGCAAATTCATAGAAACAGGAAGTAGAATAGGCCTGGCACTGTGGCACTCACCTATAATCCCAGCACTTTGGGAGGCTGAGGCAGGAGGATTGCTTGAAGCCGGAGTTCGAGACCAGCCTGGGTTACATAGCAAGACTCTGTCTCTACAGAAAAATAAATAAATAAAACTTAGCTGGGCATGGTGGCATGCACCTGTAGTTCCAGCCACTCCAGTGGCTGAGGTGGGAGGATTGCCCAGAAGGTTGAGGTTGCAGTGAGCCGTGATTGCATCACTGCACGTCAACCTGGACAGCAGAGTGAGACCCTGTCTCTAAAAAATAAAAATAAAAAAGAAAGTAGAATAGAGGTTACCAGAGGCTGGGAGGAGGGAGGAACAGGGAGTTATTACTCAATGGGTAGAGTTTCTCTTTGGGATGATCAAGATCTGGAAGTCAATAGCGTGATGGTTATATAACATTATGAATATACTCTAAGCCACTAAATTGTACACTTCAAACTTTATGATACATAGTTAAGGACTGAATGTTTGTGTCCACCCCAAATGTATATGTTGAAGCCCTAACCCCATAATGTGTATTTGGAAATGGGGCCTTTGGGAAGTAATCAGGGTTACAGAAGGTCATGCAGGTGGGGCTGACATGATGAGATAGTGCCCTTATAAGAAAATATGCCAGAGAGCTTGCTTTCTCTTTATGCTTATGTGCCAAGGAAAGAGCATGTAAGCACAGAGAGAAGGTGGCCATCTGCAAGCTGGGAAGAGAGCCCTCACCAGAACCTAACTATACTGGCACTTTGATCTTGAACTTGTCAGCCTCTAGAACTGTTAGAAATGGATTTCTGGGCTGGGTGTAGTGGCTCACACCTGTAATCTCAACACTTTGGGAGGCCGAGGTGGGTGGATGGCTTGAATGCAGGAGTTTGAGACCAGCCTGGGCAACATAGTGAGACTCCTTCCCCAGAAAAAATACAAAAATTAGGTGGGCATGGTGGTGCGCACCTACGGTCTACTACAGGAAGCTACTCAGGAGGCTGAGGTGGAAGGATCACTTGAGCTTGGGAGGTTGAGGCTGCAGTGAGCCATGATCATGTCACTGCATTCCAGCCTGAGTGACAGAGACCCTGTCTCAAAAAAAAAAAAAATTCTGTTGTGTAAGCCACCAAGACTATGATATTTTGTTATGGCAACTGACCTGGCTAAGACATATGTATTTACCACAATAAAAATTATTTTTAGGCCAGGTCTGGTGGCTCACAACTGTATCCCAGCACTTTGGGAGGCCAAGGCGGGTGGATCACTTGAGCCCAGGAGTTCGAGACCAGCCTGGGCAACACAGTGAAGCCCTGTCTCTACCAAAAATACAAAAATTAGCAAGGTGTGATGGCATGCGCCTGCAGTCCCAGCTACTCAGGAGGCTGAGGTGGGAGGATGATTTGAGCCTGGGAAGTGGAGGTAGCAGTTAGCTGAGATTGCATCATTGCACTCCAGCCTGGGCAACAGAGCCAGACCCTGTTTCAAAAAATTTATTTTAATTAAAAAATTATTTAAAAGAATCATGGTAGTAAGATACACATGGTTTTAAAAATAAAATAGTACCAAAAATTTACAACTTAAAAAACGCTTCATGCCAGGGTCAGTGGCTCACACCTGTAATGCCAGCACCTTTGGCCAAGGTGGGAGGATCCCTTGAGCCCAGGAGTTTGAGATCGGCCTGGGCAATGAAGCAAAACTCCATCTCTACAAAAAATACAAAAATTAGCCAGGTGTGGTGGTGCACACTTGTAGTCCTAGCTACTCGGGAGGCTGAGGTGGGAGAATCGCTAGAGCTGGGCTGAGGCAGGAGGATTACTGTCCAGGCTGCAGTGAGCTGTGATCACACCACTGCACTCCAGCCTGGGTGACAGAGCAAGACCCTGTCAAAAAAAAAAAGTGGCAGTTCCACTTCCACCCACTCTCAGTCTTTTAGCTGCTTCTTTTAGTATCTACAGGCAAATTTCTATATGAGATACTCATATGGCTAGTTTTTGTTTTCTCAATTTTGGACATGTTCTGTTGATTTCCATAAACTTGAGGAGGATTTAGTTTTTCCCAATACCATCTATTTTTCTTATCCTTCATAGGCCAGCTAACATTTTAAGGTAGTAGAAAAGATATTGATTTGGGGGCTGGGGGGTGAAGAGAGCAACATAATGATAAGCACTGTATTAGTCAGAGCTCTCCGGATAGACAAAACCAACAAGATAAATAATATCTTCATATAATATAATATATTACATAGATATAAATATAAGGTATCTCTCATATAATACATGAAGGGATTTATCAGGGGAATTGGCCAACATAATTAGGGAGGCTGAGAATTTCCATAACAGACCATTTGCAAGCTAGAAACCCTGGGATGCTGGGCCAAATTCAAGGGCCCAAAAACCCAAGGGGGCCACACATGTAAGTCTTGGTTTCTAAAGACTAAAGAGCCTGCAGTTCTGATGTCCAAGGGCAGGAGAAGAAACAGCTCCTGGAGAAAGAGATCAACTCACCTTTCCTCTGTTTCTGTTCTGTCTGGGCCTCTAGCTGATTTGATGGTGCTCATTCACACATCGAGGGCAGATCTTCCTGAACTTTGTCCACTCAGACTCACACAGCAATCTCCTCTTGAAACACCCTTACAGACACACCAAAAAATGCTGCTTTAGGCTGGTGTGGTGGTTCACGCCTGTAATCCCAGCACTTTGGGGGGCCAAGGCAGGTGGATCACGAGATCAGGAGATCGAGACCATCCTGGCTAACATGGTGAAATCCTGTCAATACTAAAAATACAAAAAATTAGCCCAGGGTGGTGGTGGGCGCCTGTAGTCCCAGCTACTCAGGAGGCTGAGGCAGGAGAATGGCATGAACCTGGGAAGCAGAGCTTGCAGTGAGCTGAGATCGCGCCACTGCACTCCAGCCTGGGAGACAGAGCGAGACTCGGTCTCGGGAAAAAAAAAATGCTGCTTTACCAGTTCTCTAGGTATTCCTTAAACCCACCAAGTTGATACTTAAAATTAATCATTGTGGCCGGGCACGGTGGCTCAAGCCTGCAATCCCAGCACTTTGGGAGGCCGAGGCAGGTTGATTGCTTGAGCTCACGAGTTTGAGGCCAGCCTGGGCAACATGATGATACCCCCTCTCTATAAAAAATACAAAAATTAGCCTGGCATGGTGGCGCACACCTGTAATCCCAGCTATTCGGGAGGCTGAGGTGGGAGGATGGCTTGAGCCTGAAAGGTGGAGGTGGCAATGAGCTGAGATCACACCACCACACTCCAGCCTGGATGATAGAGCCAGATCTTGTCTCAAAAAATAAAATTAAAATAAATTAATTTAACCATTGCAACAGCTAACACTTATTATGTGCCATCCAAGTGTGTGGTCCTTCACCTCCATTTTATCTTTGATTCTGACCACCACCCTATGAAGTAGTTATGGTTATTGATCCCCGTATTTCTGATGAGGAAATGCAAGCACGGAAAGTTAGACAACCTGCTCGAGGTTACCCACCCAGGAAGAGGTGGAGCTGGGAAGAGAGTCCCCAGGACTGAGCCTGCTTTAACCACTCTCCAGTTCCAGGCTGCAAACTCCCTTTTTCCTTTGAAGGAACTTGACTTGGTCTCTGTTGAACATCAAAAAATACTGATTGGCCAGTCGCGGTGGTGATCACACCTGTAATCCCAGCACTTTGGGAGGCCGAGGCAGGTGGATCACAAGGTCAGGAGTTCAAGACCAGCCTGGCCAAGATGGTGAAACCCCGTCTCTACTAGAAATACAAAAAAATTAGCCAGGCATGGTGGCGGGCACCTGTAATCCCAGGTACTTGGGAGGCCGAGGCAGAGAATTGCTTGAATCCGGGAGGTGGAGGTAGCAGTGAGCCGAGATTGCGCCATTGCACTCCAGCCTGGGTGACAGAGAGAGACTCTGTCTCAAAAAAAAAAAAAAAAAAAAAAAGTCCTGATTAAGGCACATGAGTAGAAGCTGAAATGGGATGATAAGGGGGCTATTTATTTATTTATTTATTTATTGAGACAGAGTTTCGCTCTATCACCCAGGCTGGAGTGCAGTGGCGCGATCTCAGCTCATTGCAACCTCTGCTTCCTGGCTTCAAGCGATTTTCCTGCCTCAGCCTCTCGAGTAGCTGGGACTACAGGTCTGTGCCACCACACCTGGCTAAGTTTTTTTATTTTCAAGTGGAGACGAGGTTTTGCCATGTTGGCCAGGCTGGTCTGGAACTCCTGACCTCAAGTGATCCATCCGCCTCGGCCTCCCAGAGTGCTGGGATTATAGGCGTGAGCCATGGTACCCGACCCCTAAGAGGGCTGTTTAGAGTGAGCATAATGAATATTCATAGAGCCCTAGAGAGCCCCACCTGACACCAGGATTGAGGGAAAAGGGGTAATTAAAGCAAAAACCTTCAGAGACATTTGAATCCATAATCGAAAAGGTACCAGGTTGTCCAGCTCCCTTTCCCAGCTATGCAACAATGGGGATACTGACAAGTGTTTGGATTGGATGTCTTTAGATAAGTGTCCACCCTCTTAGCCAATCAGCTGTGGCCAGGAATCATGTGATACCAAATGTAGTGCACAGCAGGGATGGGGGAGAGATTCCTTTAGAAATAAGTGTGGGTGGGACAACTTGTGATTGACTCCAGTATGAGGTGAGAAGGAGCCATGAATAAGTTCAAACTATCATTGTGACAGACACATAGTTGTTGCTCATTAATATTTACTAGATAAATAATACATTGGAGCTTGAGTACCACTGTATAATTGGTTTTCCCAACATTAGATTTGTTTAAAGTTATCCAATGTTTCAATAGTTCCAATTTCTCCTACTATACCCGCAATGGATGGTTTCTTTTGAGACACTCAGAGAAAGCCTAGCATTTAAGGGCGCAGGTTGTGGAGATAGACTGCCGGGGTTTTAAGTCCAGATCAACTCTTTCCTGTCCTCATGACCTTGTGCAAGCAAATCTACCCTTCTCTGAGCCTTGTTTCCTCATCTTACAAAATAAGGATAAAAATCACACCTGCTCATAGGATTGTTGCAAAGATCAAGGGGACCATGGTGAAGTACATATCCGGGTGCCTGGCACACATTCAATTTTGGATTTTCAAGTCCTTTTATGGATTCGATGTGAGATTGTTTTCAGTTCTCAGATTGGTTTTCTTGTTCCCTCTTCCAACTTCCCCCACCCTTTGTCAACAATTAAAGAAAAAAAGAAAAAAATGTTTCCTTCTTCCTTTAGTTCCTTGTAAGTGTCCATTCAACGGTCATTCTCATAGCTTTTGCCAGTTGCCATCATGGATCATCTTAGTAGTTTTCTGTTGTATAATTTTCCAGCTTTTCTTTTCATTTGTTCACACTTGATCAGGGGTTTCCACTTCATGGTGCTGGGGAGCTTTTAAAAAATACCCTGAGGCCGGGCGCAATGGCTCACATCTATAATCCCAGCATTTTGGGAGGCCGAGATGGGAGGATTGCTTGAGGCCAGGAGTTCTAGATCAGCCTGGGCAACAAAGCAAGACCCCATCTCTACAATAAATAAATTAGCTGGGTATGCTGGGATGAGCCTGTGATCCCAGCTACTAGGGAGGTTGAGGTGGGAGGATTGCTTTAGCCCAGGTGGTTGGGGCTGTAATGAGCCATGATCATGCCACTGCAACTCCAGCCTGGGCAACAGAGCAAGAACTTGTCTCAAAAATAAATAAATAAATATTGAAAAAATAAAAAATACCCAGGCTTGGCCTCCACCTCCCGAGAGTTGAGTTCAATTGGTTTGAAATGGAGCCAGGCAATTCTTATATGCAGCCTGAACTGAGAACCATTTATTCAACAAATATTTATGGGGTACCTTCTATGTGCCAGACACTGTTCTAGTACTTGGGACACATCAGTGAAACCTCATGGAGCTTAAGTTCTAAAGGGGTCAGAAATTCTAGTGAGAGGTGGCTTAGGGGAACCATTAAACTATCTAGGATCTTGAAGGCAGAGACTTTATTTTACTCATGTTTTTATTCCCCAGGGTCAGGGCTGTAGAATTCACCCAATAACGCTTGTTGAAAGAATGAGTGATCTTTGGCCTTCTCATACCTAATTTACATTTTTCTTTTCTTGATTCATTTCACTAGACCCTTAGCTCCACGATGACAATGACAGGTCGAATTTGTTCTGTCATACCCCCAGTGCCTATTACAGTGCCTGGCACATAGGTGCTCAGTAAACCGTACTTAAATGCATGCCTGTATTTGTTACAGCAGCCTGGGTTTCAAGAGTGTTATACGGATAACATTAATGAATCCACGCAAATAAACATTTAGACACGCATCGTCAATCAAAGGGTGCTCACTGGTACCCGGACAACCATTTCACAGACTGGTGTGCCCTATAGGCATCCCAGTGATACACCATCAGCCAGAGAGCCTGTGAACTCTTCCAAGCAGAAGGGCTCTCCCTGCCCCCTCTCCCCGCGCAGCTCGCTCTGCCCTCCGCCTCCTCTTCTCCGCCCACTCTCGCCGCGGTCTCCTGGCGGCGGAGGCTTTGTCTCGTGGGCTGGTCCCCAGCGGCTCCCTCCCCGAACAGCTGCTGCTCCAGGGAGGAAGCGGCGCGGGTGCTGTCCAGCTTCCCGGTGCTGAAAACCGGAGGGCTCGTCATCCACCACTACCATGTAAGGGCCATGAGAAGGGCTCATCCTGGCGCAGCGCGGACATGGAGGAGGACTTATTCCAGCTAAGGCAGCTGCCGTGAGTATCATGGGGGCGAGCAAGAGGCAGACAGGCTTTCTTTTAAAAAACGAAAACCTGCAAGGGGGGTGGGGGGGGGTACATCTCTGCATGGTTTCTTGAATTTAAAGGGAACTGTTTCAGAGGAAGGAATTAGGGCCTGGAGGAGACAAGCCATTTTCTTTCCCCAGCAGCCCAGCCTCTGTATCTCTGACTCAGTTCCATTTATCAGATCTGTCAGGACCTTATGGGGGAACCACGGGGGTTATGATTCCCCTTTTAATTGCTCTCAATCCTAAAAGGATTTTCAGATGTGAGCTTTAAGAAAGCATTAGCTGCTGTTTTGAAATGTGGACAGAATTGGTGAGTCTATGCAATGACATCGGTCCTTTCCAGCCCTAATCCTATGCTGTGAAATCCATAATTTTTCTGCAAGGTCTTTTGGAAGGGAATGATACTGATGCTGCAAACTGGTTGATAAAAAAAACTGGGATGCCTTCCTAGAGGAGAGGGTTGGGCAAAGTCCTGTTGTTTATGAAGTGTGTGAATGAGAGGGCTGTGCACGGTCGGTGAAACCTCTTGCCTTCTTCTGAATGAAAGGTTTTTGTAGCAGCTAGCTAGAGTGAGACTCACTGTCGGAACATCAGGAATATACTGCTTTGAGGATGGCGATTTTTAAGAAAAACCAAATTTGCTCTGAGAATCTGGGGGAAATATCAAGCAACCGAAAGGACAGGGGCCTTGTAGAGGGGCTTACAGATTTTTCCTACCACAAGCAGATAGTGATTTGTTAAGTAAATTCCAAGAGTATGAGAGGGGGCATTAAAAAGAACATTGGTGGGGCAGGGGTTGTTTTAATTTTTAGAAGCACTAGCCATTTGAGTGGTAAGAGTAGATTCCCTTTGGGATTGTTAGAAAGGATAAATTATAGTTAGTGTGTGTGTATTTTCTTGATTTTAAAAATGGTGGATTATTTTTTTCTATAATCTACTGAGGAATTCTCCCAAGTGACTTTTAGTGTGACTGATACAGTTCTCTGAGGCTGTGAGTACTGAAGGGGATTGTAATGTTTACTTTTCAATCAGAGTAAAATTAGTTTTCACCAAAATTTTTAATTAATTTAAAATTTGCTTTAAAGTTTTACTAATTGATCCACAAATAGTATATCTGATTATGTAATACAGCATTATTTCACAAATGCTAGAGGATGTTCAGTAATAATATCCAGACGTAGATATAACAGTACATAAAAATGTAAAGGTCTGATTACAAATTTCCCAAGGAAAACATACAACTTTTATTGAGAATAAATATCATGTTCAAAAATAAAATGATTACCCCCAATAAAAAATAATTTAATATCAGAAATGTGAACTTTGGTACTCAGAATTAGACTACATATTGGAACTGTGGTTTTCCTGGGATAAATTTTTCAATAATGTCAGAGGATGTGAACTTTTCAAAGATTCATGTGTATATGAACTTTGCAAAAGGGTCATGTATATTTAATCTACTAATATATAGACCTGACATTATCATGACAATTCCTTCTTTAATTAAAAAAAGCAAAAATAAGAAGTTTTCACTTATTTAAATGTAAAAATTTAGGTTTTTATAGGAATATAATACAATGTACCAATAAATAAAGGTAAATAAAGTTCAAAGAGAAGCACAAGAATAAAGAGTAAGTCTCCTTTCTTTTCAAACCCCAGTTCTATTCCCCAGAGTTAAGTTTCTTGATTATTCTTTCTGGTGCTTAATAGGCATAAATACATATATTATCTATTAGGCCAAATTGTGTACTGGTTAAGTACATTATCTCTTGAATCAGACATACTTGGGTTCAAATCCTTACTATGCCACTTCCTGGCTGTGTGACTTTAAGCAAGTGACTTAACCTTTCTGAGACTCAGTTTCCTTAGCTACACAATGAGGATCATAACAGTACTTAATTCATAAGGTTATTGTGAAGATCAAATGAGATAATGTATGCCAAATGCCGGGCAGACACAAAGCACTCAATGCATATTAGCTATTACTATTATTACATCTGAAAAATCATTTATATAAACAAAATATGTAGGTTTACTGTACTGGACTCCCTCAAAATCTTAATCTGCAAACCCCAAATGACATTTGAATGAAGTCAAAATTAGCCCTGAAATGTGTTGACCTCAATTTCTAAAAAAAGAGTAAGCTAAAAGGAATGGCCACATGAATCTGAGTGGGTTACAAATCACGATTTAGATGTTTTTTAAACCACACCCTTCGTATATTATGCACAGATTGCAGGCAGCAGATTTCCCGAGAGCAATATGGCTAAAAAAAAATTCAGAGTGCCTTGTAGAGGGTTGGCAAGAGTGGACTTTGGAATAGGCTCAGTCCCGTGGGAGGCCAAGTGTTAGCAGATTATAAGCCACTAAGTAGTTCACATGGTTGGGGAATGGGGAAAGGGAGTGAGGGAGTCTAAGAAACAGTCCTTCCTCACACTTGAAGGAACCCTCACACAGCTCTGGGGTGGTTCATTTGAGACCACAAAAGACCATTGTTTTTCACATGCTGTCCACTCTGGGACAGCACCACATAGAGGAGATTTGGGAGGCTGAGAGTTTGCATCCAGTTCTGCCTTTTTGTGTGACCTTGTGCAAATCAGACTTTTCTAGGTCTGTTCTTTCTAGGATGATTTCTTGAAAGCAAGTTTGCAGACACTGATTGATCGATTCATTCATTCATTCATTCATTCATTCATCCATCCATTCTTTCACTGATTTACTTAGATACCATCCTAGGTACAAAGGATTCTACAGCTGAGTAAGGTAGAATGGTTCTTGCGCTTAAGCACCTCGCAATCTAGAGCTGCAATGTCCAATAGTACATTTAGCCACTAGCTACATGTGGCTATTTAAATTTAAACTTAAATGAATTTAAAGTATGCATTTTGTACATGAAATAATTTATATAGTATAATAAAGAATATAAAATGTATATATAATATACAATAGAAAATATGTGGCCAGGTGCAGTGGGTCATGCCTATAATCCCAGCACTTTGGGAGACCGAGGTGGGTGGATCATTTGAGGTCAGCAGTTCGAGACAAGCCTGACCAACATGGTGAAACACTGTCTCTACTAAAAATACAAAAAAAATTAGTCAGGCATGGTGGCACATCCCAGCTACTTGGGAGGCTGAGGCAGGAGAATCTCTTGAACCTGGGAGGCAGAGGTTGCGGTGAGCAAAGATTGTGCCACTGCACTCCAGCCTGGGCAACACAGTGAGACTCTGTCTCAAAAAAAATGTGTGTGTATATATATAATGTAAAATTTTAAAAAAATCTGTCCCTCAGTCATACTAACCACATTTCAAATACTCAATAGCTACATGTGGCTAGTGGCTACTATATTGGACAGCATACGTGTAGGCCAGCAGTCCCCAACTTTTTTGGCTCCAGGGACTGGTTTCTTGGAAGACAATTTTTCCATGGATGGGGGTGGTTAGGTAGGGGGATGGGGTTGGGGTTTCAGGATAAAACCATTCCACCTCAGATCTTCAGGCATTAGATTCTCATAAGGAGCCTGCAACTTAGACCCCTTGTGTGTCAGTTCACAATAGGGTTCACGCTCCTATGAGAATCTAATGCCGCTGCTGATTGACAGGAGGTGGAGCTTGGGCGGTAATGCTCACTCACCCAAGGCTCACTGTGCAGCCCGGTTCCTAACAGGCCAGAGACCGTTACGGGTCCTTGGCCCAGGGATTGGGGACCCCTGGTCTAGGACATTTCCATAATTGCAGAAAGTTCTATTGGACAGCACTGGTTTGGTAGGAGGGAGGACACTGAACACATCATTGCAAATAATTATGAGAATTGTCTTAAGTGCTATCAAGAACTACTGCAAGCCTGGGGAATATATTGAGACCTGTTACTACTAAAAAAATTTTTTTCTTAATTAGCCAGGTCTGGTGGCTCATGCCTGTGGCCCCAACTACTAGGGAGGCTGAGGCAGGAGGATTGCTTGAGCCTGGGGGTTCAAGGCTGCAATGAGCCATGATCATGACACTGCACTCCAGCCTGAGTGACAGAGTGAGATCCTGTCTCAAAAAAAAAAAAAAAAGAACTAATGCAGGGTACAGGTAAGGAAACTAGTTTTAGATGGGAGGTGGGTATCAGGGAAGGCTTCCCTGAGGAAGTGACATTTGACCTGATCCTCTGGAGATATGATTTCAGGAAAAAGAGAGAGGATTAAGAACATTCCAGGAAGAAGAAACTGTATGGGTAAAAGCCCTGAATTGGGAAAAAAGCTTGGTGTGTCTCAAAATCAGCCAAAAGATCATTAATGAACAAGTGGCTTGAGGGGAAACTGCTGAGGATAACAGGGAGTAGGCCATCCAGGGTCTTGTAGTATATGACAAGGAGTTGGGACATCATCCTGCATTTGCTGAATCTACTGTCTCCTTTCTTACAAACCCTGTCTTTCAAGATTGAGTTTGGGTCCACCATTTTAATAAATCTGCCCCTGACTTCTGCCGGTCTTAATCAATAGCAGAGGTAAAAATGTGGAAACTGACTCAGGCAGATCTGGGTTCAAACTCTGGCTCCGGCCCTATCTGGGTGGCCTCGGGCCAAAGCCTTCTTCTCCCCAAGGCTGAGTGCCTATCGGTGAAGTCAGAACAGTGATAATACCTGCAGGGCTGTTGTAAGGATCAGAGAGATAATCGCTGGGAAGCTCTCAGCACAGTGCCTGGCTTTGAGTATGGTCTCGATTTGTGGTGCTGGTATTGTTTTCCTCCACTCAGCATTCGTTTCCCTGATCTTCCAACTTATTAGGTAGTAGGAGCGCCTGGAAGCCACATTCTCCTGTGCAAAACACTAAGAAGATGTCTGGTGTGGTGTGAGAGCACATGTCTGAACTTGAACTCTTCGTCCGTCCTCCACCTGCTCCTCTTTCAGCCTCCCCCATCTCAGTTGATAACAACTCCATTTGTCCCATTTGGCCGGAAACTTTGGAGTCAAGTTAGACTCCCCTCTTCCTCCCATTTCACTTTTTTGTTTTGTTTTGTTTTGTTGAGACAGAGTCTCGCTCTGTTGCCCAGGCTGGAGTGCAGTGGTGTGATCTCAGCTCACCGCAACCTCTGCCTCCCAGGTTCAAGCGATTATCATAGCCACCCCTGTAGCTGGGATAACAGGCATGCACCACCATGCCCAGCTAATTTTTTATAGAGATGGGGTTTTGTCATGTTGGCCAGGCTGGTCACCTGGCTCCAAGTGACCCTCCCGCCTTGGCCCCGCAAAATGCTGGGATTACAGGCATGAGCCACCATGCCTGGCCCCATTTCACTTTCAGTCCATCAAGAAATCCTTTGGTCCTGCCTTCAACTTAACACCCAGACTCCCACCCCTTCTGCTGCAATCCTCTGGTTCAAGTATCCATCCTCTCTCACTGGGATTGATTGCAATGATGTCTGTGCTGGTTTTCCCGCTCCTGCCCTTGCCTCCCTATAGCCCATTCTCAACCCAGTGGCCAGAGGGATTCTTTAAAAGTCAGATCATGTCCTTCCTTGGCTCAAAAATCTTCTATGGTTCCCATCTCACCTCATCTCTTTCACTATCCTACCCATTCATGCTGCTGCCTCCCTGCTGTTCCTCAGCCATGCCAGCCAGGCTCCTGCCTCAGGATCCACCCGCTAGAAAGCTCTTCTCCAAGGTACCTGCTTCACTCTCATAAAGTCTCAAATACCACCTTCTCACCAAAGCTTACCCTAATAACTCTCTTTAAATTTGCAGCCCTCTCATATACCCATCAGGATGGCTACTATTAAAATAAAAAATACCTGAGCTGGGCATGGTGGTTCAAGCCCATAATCTCAGCACTTTGGGAGACCAATGCGAGAGGAATGCTAGAAGCCAAGAGCTGTGAGACCAGCCTGGGCAACAAAGCAAGACCCCGTCTCTACCAAAAATTTTGAAAAACTAGCCAGCCATGGTGGTGTGTGCCTGTAGTCCCAGCTACTTAGGAGGCTGAGGAGGGAAGATTGCTTGAGCCCAGGGTTTTGAGGCTGCAGTGAGCTATGAATGTGCCACTACACTCCAGCCTGGGTGATAGAATGAGACCCTGTCTCAAAAAAGAAAGAAAGACCAAAAAAATCAGAAAATAACAAATGTTGGTGAGGATGTAGAGAAATTGGAACTTTTGCACACTGTTGGTGAAATATAAAATAGTGTAGCCATCATGGAAAAGAGTATGGCAGTTCCTCAAATGTAAAAATAAAAATAATGCCATGTGACCCAGTAATTCCACTTCTGGTTATAGATGCAAAATAATGGGAAGCAGGGTATTGAAGAGATATTCGTACTTCTATGTTCACAGCAGCATTATTCACTATAGCCAAACATGAAAACCCATGCCCATGGACTGACGAATGGATGAATAATATTCCATTGTGCAATATTGCTAAAATCTCTTCTCTTAGCAATTTTCAAGAAACAAAATGTGGTCTATCCACATTTGGAATATTATTCAGCCTTAAAAAAGGAAGGACATTTTGGCCGGGTGCAGTGGCTCATGCCTGTATTCCCAGCACTTTGGAAGGCCGAGGCACTTTGGAAGGCCAAGGCAGGAGTTCAAGACCAGCCTGGCCAACATGGTGAAACCCAGTCTCTACTGAAAATACAAAAATTAGCCAGGTGTGGTGGCATGCACCTGTAATCCCAGCTACTTGGGAGGCTGAGGCACGAGAATCGCTTGAACTTAGGAGATGGAGGTCCCAATGAGCTGAGATCACACCGTGGCACTCCAGCCTGGGCAGCAGAGTGGGACTCCATCTCAAAAAAAAAAAAAAAGGAAGGAAATTTGGGCAGTCCTACAATGCAGATGAAGCTTGCAGACATTGTGCAAATAAAGCAGTCACAAAAAGACAAATACAGCATGATCCCACTTATATGAGGTGCCTAGAGCAGTCAAATCCATAGAGACAGAAAGTAAAATGGTGGTTCCAGGAACTCGGTGGTGGGGGGAGAGGGAATGGGGAGTTGGTGTTTAATGGTACTGAATTTAAATTTAAATTTTGCAAAATGAAAAGAGTTCTGCAGATGGATGGTAGTGATGATTGTACAACAATGTGAACGTGCTTAATGCCAGAGAACTGTATACTTAAAAATGGTTAAGATTGGGCTGGGTGCAGTGGCTCACGCCTGTAATCCCAGCACTTTGGGAGGCTAAGGCAGGCAGATCACTTGAGGCCAGAAGTTCAAGATCAGCCTGGCCAACATGGTGAAAACCGTCTCTACTAAAAATGCAAAAATTAGCCAGGTGTGGTGGCATGCACCTATAATCTCAGCTAGTCAGGAGGCTGAGGCATAAGAATCACTTGAACCTGGGAGGCAGAGGTTGCAGTAATCAAAGATCGTGCTACTGCACTCCAGCCTGGGTGACAGAGTGAGACTCTGTCTCAGAAAAAAAAAAAAAAGGTTAAGACGGTAAGTTTGATGTTATGTGTATTTAATCATAATTGGAAAAAAAGCTGCAGCCTTCTTCCTCTATCCTCCAATACCATATTCTCCTTTTTCTTTTTTTCATAGCACGTATCATCGCTAATAAACTCTATAATTTGCTTATTTATTGTGTTTAGTGTTTGTCTTCCCTCATGAGAGTTTCACAAGGGTGGGATCTGATGTATCCCAAGTGTGTGGGATATTGCTGTCAGTTTCACCTACTACTGGATTCCAGTGTAGACCAATATAGACAGGCCAAATGATTAGGAACACTTCATGAATGAAAAACCAGAAAAATCTGTCTGTCGGCTGTGTTATTTTCCCTGACAGTGGAACCACTATTAAGTTTTAGCAACTGTGTAGCCCAGTCTACCTGGAAAGACCAGACATAGCTTTGTTTCTTCATGTCTATTTTCTGCTTCCCCATATTCCTTTTTTAAGACAGGCTCTCACTCCAGTTGCCCAGGCTCGAGTGCAGTGGCACAATCATGGCTCACGGCAGCCTCAACCTCCTGGGCTCAGCTGATTCTTTCACCTCAACCTCCCCAGTAGCTGAGACTACAGGCACATGACACCACGCCTGGCTCATTTTTTATATTTTTGGTAGAGACGGGGTTTCGCTATGTTGTCCAGGCTGGTCTCAAACTCCTGGACTCAAACAATCCACCTGCTTTGGCCTCCCAAAGTGCTGGGATTACAGGCTTGAACCACCATACCTGGCCGTATTTCCTTATTTTCTTTGACTAAATCAGGGAGGTTGGGAGAACAGCAGTTTGACTACTGATTACATGAAATTTTTTTAATTATTTTAATATTTTAAAAAATGTTAAATTGACAAATAAAAATTACATATGTATGGTGTAGAACATGTTGTTCTGAAATACGTGTAATTGTGAAATAGCTAAATCAAGCTA
Organism: Homo sapiens; assembly: GCF_000001405.40. Classification (NCBI taxonomy): domain Eukaryota; kingdom Metazoa; phylum Chordata; class Mammalia; order Primates; family Hominidae; genus Homo; species Homo sapiens. The sequence goes on along the minus strand of NC_000012.12, from coordinate 109,012,453 downwards.
ATTAACATATGCATCATCTCACATCCTTTTTTGTGGTGAGTACACTTAAAATCTCCTTTCTTAGCAATTTTCAAGTATACAATACTCTAAATTGTTATTAACTATAGTCTCCATGTTGTACGATAGATCTCTTGAACCTATTTCTCCTGTCTAACTGATTTTTTTTTTTTTCTGAGACAGTCTCGCTCTGTTGCTCAGGCTGGAGTGCAGTGGCGTGATCTTGGCTCACTGCAACCTCCACCTCTCAGGCTCAAGCGATTCTCCTGCCTCAGCCTCCTGAGTAGCTGGGATTATAGGCACCCACCACTGCACTCGGCTAATTTTTGTATTTTTAGTAAAGACGGGGTTTTGCCATGTCAGCCAGGCTGGTCTTGAACTCCTGACCTCAGGTGATCTGCCTGCTTCAGCCTCCCAAAGTCCTGGGATTAGAGGCATGAGCCACTGCGCCCAGCCTAACTGAAATTTTTTTTACCTGCAGCAACTCCCTAATTCCTCCAAGCCCCTACCAAGCTCCTGGTAATCACCATTCCACTCTCTGCTTCTATGAGTTTGACTTTTTCAGATTCCACATATAAATGAGATCATGCAGTATTTGTCTTTCTGTGCCTGGCTTATTTCACTTAACACAATGTCCTCCAGGTTCGTTCATGTTGTTGCAAATGAGTGGATTTCCTTCTCTCTTAATGCTGAATAGTATTCCATTGTGTTTATACCACATTTCCTTGATCCATTCATCTCTTGATGGACACTTAGGTCGATTCCATAGGTTGGTAACTATGAATAATGCTACAATGATTATATGACTATTGCTGTTGAAATTGTCCCAGGTAAACTCTTTGAGCCCATGTTAAGCCAGGCAAGTATTTGTGTTTGAGTTCTAGGGGAGAAGCTCTGCATAGAGACACAGGACCAGAGGAGGTGGCAAAGGCACACGTGAGACTTCCTGCTGGCTCCCATCCGCCTGAGACCTAGTGGGGCCAAAGGAGGGGGAGGATCCCTAGACAAGGAAGAGAGATAGGGCATCATTGTCACTCACTTCAGGCAAAAAGTAGGGAGTTATTGTAATAGCCTGGGCATCCCCCAAGGGAACCCACCACAGCCTTTAAAACCTCACACTCAGAGTTGCTCACACCCCTTCATTTCAAAAATGTTTACATTTTATGCCAGCCAGCTTCACTTAAGAAATGTGTGTTTCAATGACTTAAGGGGAATAGTCTGATTGTTGAGTGCCTTATATAAGATAGTGCAGTGGCCCTCGTCTATAATCCCAGCACTTTGGTGGGGGCCAATGTGGGAGGATCGCTTGAGGTCAGGAGTTCAAGACCATCCTGGACAACATGGTGAAACCCTGTCTTTACTAAAAATACAAAAATTAGCCAGGTATGGTGGCATGTGCCTGTAATCCCAGCTACTTGGGAGGCTGAGGCATGAGAATCGCTTGAAACCAGGAGGCAGAGGTTGAAGTGAGCTGAGATCACGCCACTTGCACTCCAGCCTGGATGACAGAGCGAGACCCTGCCTCAAAAAACAAAACAGAAAACCTCACACTTAAAGCTGTTCACACCCCTTCACTTCAAAAATGTTTACATTTTATGCCAGCCAGCTTCACCTCTGAAGAATGTATGTTTCAGTGACTTAAGGGGAACAGTTTGGGCCAGGTGCAATGGCCGTTGTCTATAATCCCAGCACTTTGGGAGGCCAAGGCAGGAGAATCGCTTAGCTCAGGAGTTTGAGATCAGCCTGGGCAACATAGCAAGACCCCCTCTCTAAAAAATCAAAATTATCTGGGTGTGGTGCCTGTGGTCACAGCTACTTGGGAGGCTGAGGCAGAAGGATCACTTGAACCTGGAAGGTTGAGATTGCAGTGAGCTATGATTGCACCACTGCACTCCAGCCTGGGTGACAAAGTGAGACCCAGTCTGAAAAACCAAACAAAATAAAAACCACAATAGTCTGGAGGCCAAAGAAAGAAAGTCTCCTTGAAAAGAGGCCATTGTTTGGGTGGCCTTGGGTCTTAGGGAGGATTATTCCAGGGTTCACTGGCCTAGACAGTGGCTTTACAGCCCCAGCTAAAGTCTTCTCTGGGCTGTCTAAAAGAATTATGCAGATTTGCATGTGAATGATTATGTGATCTTGGGCAATTTATTTAACTTCCTTGAGACACGAGGGGGTGCCCGGGTCACTTTTGAGGGCATTTTCAGCTCTACAAGACTGATTCTCAGCTCTCTGGATGAATGTGCCTGGCACCAGCCTGGATCATGTCAGTTATTCTGGTGTATTTATTAACTTATTTATTTAATTAAAAAAAAATTTTTTTTTTTTTTTTGAGAGAGAGAGGGTCTCTCTCTGTTGCCCAGGCTGGAGTGCAGTGGCATGATCATGGCTCACTGCAGCCTTCAAACTCCTGGGCTCTAGCAATCCTCCCGCCTCAACTTTCCAAAGTGCTGGGCTTAAAGGTGTGAGCTACCCTGCCCAGGCTGGTGTAATTATTAATAGTATCTCATTCACTCTTTAACCCAGGGTTTCTCAGCCTCAACACTATTCACATTTTAGACCAGACAATACTTTGTAGTGAGGGGGCTGTCCTATGCATTGTAGGATGTTTAGCAGCATTTCTGGCCTCCTCTACCCACCAGATGTCACTGTCACTCCCACCAGTTGTGACCATCAAAGCTGTCTCTAGACATTGCCGATGCCCCTAGGAGACTAAATTGCCCCGGTTGAAAACCACTGCTCTAGGGCCAGGCGCCATGGCTCACACCTGTAAGCCCAGCAGTTTGGGAGGCTGAGGCAGGTGGATCACTTGAGGTTAGGAGTTCGAGACCAGCCTGGCCAACATGGTGAAACCCCATCTCTACTAAAAAAATACAAAAATTAGCTGGGCGTGGTGGCGGGTGCCTGTAATCCCAGCTACTCGGGAGGCTGAGGCAGGAGAATCGCTTGAATCCAGGAGGCAGTCACTCATTTCTACAGCATCTTCAGATCTCTCTTTAAGCCTCACTCCTCTGACTTGAGTCATGCTGGCACCCTGTACATGTTCTCTTAACAACGTGTGCATCTTCTGCAATGCTCAGGGTACCTTTGGTAAAAGGCTCTAAGTTCCATGGGGGCAAGAACTCAAATCTGACACAGAGAGGGTCCCCTCTGTATGGTTGTTAAATGAATGAGTGAATAAATAAGTTACAAAGACAAGGCTGGATGCGGTGGCTCATGCCTGTAATCCCAGCTCTTTGGGAGGCCAAGGCGGGCTGATTATCTGAGGTCAGGAGTTCGAGACCAGCCTGGCCAACACGGCAAAACCCTGTCTCTACTAAAAATATAAAAATTAGCCAGGCGTTGTGGCTCGCGCCTGTAATCCCAGCTACTTGGGAGGCTGAAGCATGAGAATCTCTTGAACCCGGGAAGCAGACGCTGCAGTGAGCGGATATCATGCCACTGCACTCCAGCCTGGGTGACAGAGCGAGACTCCATCTCAAAAAAAAAAAAAAAAAAAGAAAGAAAAGAAAAAAAAAGTTACAAAGACAAATAACCAACCCTGAAAGTTGCAGCACAGGCCTTTTTGTTCTCCAATCAGAAGAGTAACCCACTCCTCTCTGCTGAGGCCATGTCAAAGAATGAGTAAGTGTGTGCGCACTCAACTCAGGCAATTTGGTTTTGGATCCTGACTTTCTGGCTAACTTGGTAGGTGATCTTGGGCAAGTTCCTTGTTTTTCTTTAGGCCTCAGTTTTATCATCTGTAAAGTGGAGACAGCAATGGAACCCACCTCCTAGGGCATGAGGGTTCCTTGAGATGATGCTTATAATGTGCTTAGCAGAGTTACCAGCCCCTGATAAAGGCTTCATGAATGCTAACTAGGATTTATTTTTTATCATTACCTTTTGTCCAGGATATAAGCTAGTGGTCTGCTATCCTAGGAACAAGCTCATTGCTATTCAGGTTGACGGGGATGGCAGAAAAATGCAAATAAATAAAATCCACAGAGAACTAAAATTTCCATTAATTATAGACTTCTAACACATTCAGAAATGGAAGGAAACTTAAAGGTCATCACATCCAACCCCTCACACCCCATCTCCCCAGTTCAGAGCAGGCAGGCATCAGATGGTGACTTTCAGACTTCTGTGGCTGCCATCAACATCTTATTAAAATTCAGGTTCTTGGGCCCCACTCTGTAGAGATGCAAAAGCATTATTAGGTCTAGAGTATGGCCCAGGAATCAGCATTTTAATCAGTTCCACAGGGGTATTCTTGGCTTCAGGTACAGAAGCTTTGGCTGACTGGTTAAGATCATGGGTTTTGGAGCTACTTGAGCCAGGGTCCTAGTACACTGCATATTATCTAGGAGACCTGGAACCATTGGTGTAACCTCTCCAGCCTCAGCTTAGTTGTCTATAAACTGGAGATTTTTTTTTTTTGAGACAGGGTCTCACTCTGTCACCCTGGCTGGAGTGCAGTGGTGCAATCATAGCTCACTGCAGTCTTCACCTCTTGGGTTCAAATGATCCTTCCATCTCATCCTCCCCAGTAGCTGAGACCAAAGGTGCGTACCACCACGGTCAGCTAATTTTTTAATTTTTTGTAGAGACATGGTCTTGCCATGTTGCCCAGGTTGGTCTCGAACTCCTGGGCTCAGGTGATCCTCCCACCTCAGCCTCCCAAGTGTTGGGATTATAGGCATGAGCCACTGTGCTGGCTGAAACTAGAGTTATTAATAATACTTCCCTGTTATGATTGTTGAGTGCATTACATAAGATAGTTTATAACACTCAGGCTTGGACCTGGCATGCTGAAGTGATGCATAAATATTAAATATCATTACTCCTGAGCCAATCACAGGGACACCTGCCTCTGTTGCAGTGCCTCTCATGAGAGTGAGCCCACTGCCTCCTAAAGCAGCCATTTTCATCTCTCGACTTCTGTGCCTGATAAGGCTCCTCTTTATATTGAGTTGAGATCTGCTTCCTTCTTTCTTATACCCAGAAGTTCAAGCTCTGCTGTTAGGATTCAGGTTGAGAGGCACCTTCTTTCACAGGTCAGAGCCTCAAATATTTGAAGAAGAGGTTCATCTCCTGGGAAGACTCTTCTCAAATCCTACAGCTCAGGGAGTGCCCCAGGTCTTGTCTTGAAGGAGACAAAGCAAGTCCATATGTTAGTGACCTTGGCAGTCTCTGCTGCTTCAAGTGCACAGCATCTAACTCCATTTGTTGATAAGTTTCAGATTCAGAAGACGCCACATCACCAGGGTATCTGGGACAAAGCTGAGGGATACTGGTTATCAGTGTTTTTGATCGAGTTCCCCAAACAAGGTGATCCCTTCTTGCAACCCTGCCTTCCACTGGCAGAGGAGCCTCCCTATGAAGATGTCTTCTTGTACTATTTGGAAGAGTTGGGGAGAAAGGGATGAATATTTAACAAAAGCCTCAGCCCTCCACCTCTCCAACCCCCCTAATCCAAACCACCACCACCTCTTCTCCCACTGGCCACACAGCTTCCTTCCTGGCCTCCCTGACTCCTCTGCAGCCATCTTTTTGTATTAACCAGGCCATTGATTGTTTATATTCTGATGCTTCAGCATCTTGGAGGCTTGCTGACCCTGGAGGGACTTGCCCCTCTCAGAGTTAACTAATTCCTAGAAATAGCAAACAGCTCACCTGCCAGCGTGCCTTTCCTATACAAACCAATCAGGCCAGAGCCTCAGGTCTCTCCAGCCGCCTTCTTTATCCAGCTCCCAGACTCCAGGCCACATCTACCTGCCCTCATCACCCCAGAACCAGGCATGAGACAATTAAGGACAGCCCCTATGCTCCAGAGAAGGATGAAATTATTCAAACGAACCGAACCTAAGCCGGCAGCCTCTGCCTTGCCCATTTCTTTCCTGGGAAACCACAATAAAGGCTCTTGGTCACGTTCTCCCCCTATACCCTCTGCCTCCTGACAAACCCTGGGGCTGCCATGTGTGCCCCTTAAAGTGTGGCATGCCCCTTCTTCTTGGGATCTGTAAGTATGACAGAGTATATCTTGTCAATGGCTCACATCTCGTGATTTCTCAGCCTTGCCATACCTAAATAATATTAAAACCTATATTTAAGAAACGCTTTCTGGGGTGGGCACAGTGGGTCACCCTGTAATCCCAGCACTTTGGGAGGCCCAGGTAGGCAGATCATCTGAGGTCAGGAGTTTGAGACCTTTCTGGCCAACATGGTGAAACCCCATCTCTACTAAAAATACAAAAATTAGCCAGGCGTGGTAGCAGGCAGCTGTAATCCCAGCTACTTGGGAGGTTGAGGCAGGAGAATCGCTTGAATCCAGGAGTGAGAAGTTGCAGTGAGCCGAGACTGTGCCACTGCACTCCAGCCTGGGTGACAAGAGTGAGACTCTTTCTCAAACAAAACAAAACAAAACAAAACAACCCACTTTCCTCCATTGATTCCTCCTCTTGCGGGAGAATGTGCTGAGTGACCTTCTCAAAACTCAACTCTGATCATCTTCCACCCTCTTGCTGCTACTTGAAACCCTTCCATGGTGTCCCACTGGTCTTAGGACAACACAGAAAATCCTCACTGTGACCTCCAGGGCTCTGTGTGATCCCAGCTGTCTCTCTGACCTCTGTTCCCTGGTCCCACCTCCAGGCCTTTGCACTAGCTGTTCTCTCTACTCCTCCCCTATTTGTGTGGGACTGTCTTTGTCCCCTTGATCTCTCCTTGGGGAGGTCTTTTCTGATCACTCACTTTTTTTCTTTAGGCCTCAGTTTTATCATCTGTAAAGTGGGGACAGGAATGGCACCCACCTTCTAGGGCATGAGGGTTCCTTGGGTACCACTGCTGTCCCCACTTGGCACCCTGTTTGCTTCCTCCTCAAGATATATTTCCTTTGCAAATGTATAGTGATGTATTTGTTTACTTGTGTATTAACCACCTTGCCAACCAGAGCATCCACTTCTCGAGGTCAGGGACCATGTCAATTTCATCCTCCATTGGACCCCAGCACTCACTCAGCATGTCAGCCCTCAATAGATGCTTATGGAAGTACTGAATGGTCCTGCTAGGCTCTTCCAGATGCTCTCGATAGATAGACTCCTATGATCTCCATGGCTACCCTGTGAGGTAGGAATTACCATTTCCATTTTATAGGTGAGAAAACTGAGGCTCAGAGAAGCAAAGTAAACTACCCAGGGTCACACAGGTACTGAATGGTGTGGGTAGGGGATTCAAACCCAAGTCAGTCTGTTTGCCAGAGTTGGGCTCTCTTGTCTACTCCGATGGACCACCTCTCTGACTCTGAATTCCACACACAGATAATCACAGCTTAAGCTTCCTTTTCAGTCTGATAGCTTGAACTCTGATAGCCTGAACTCAAGGGCTAAAACTCCAGAGGCCGAGATGAAAAGAGAGAAAACTTCCTTATTTAAAATACCTGGCTAGGCACAGTGGCTCACACCTGTAATCCCAGCACTTTGGGAGGCCAAGACAGGTAGATCACTTGAAGTCAGGAGTTCGAGACCAGCCTGGCCAACATGGTGAAACCTCGTCTCTACTAAAACTACAAAACTTAGCTAGGCATGGTGGTGGATACCTGTAATCCCAGCTACTCGGGGGGATGAGGCAGGAGAATCACTAGAACTCGGGAGACGGAGGTTGCAGTGAGCCAAAATTGGGCCACTGCACTCCAGCCTGGGTGGCAGAGTGAGACTCCATCTAAAATAAAATAAATGAAATGAAATGAAATGAAATGAAATGAAATGAAATGAAATACTTGTATCAGGCCGGGCATGGTGGCTAACACCTGTAATCCCAACACTTTGGGGATCACTTGAGCTCAGGAGTTTGAGACCAGCCTGGGCAACATAGCAAGACCTTGTTTCTACTAAAATTAAAAAAAAATATGCTGAGCATGCTGGCACATAGCTGGAGACCCAGCTACTTGGGGAGCTGAGGTGAGAGGATTGCTTGAGCCTGGGAAGTCGAGGCTGCAGTGAGCCCAGATCTGCACTCCAAACTTGGGCAACAGAGTAAGACCCTGTCTCAAAAAAAAAAAAAAAAAAAGTAGCAATACCTGAATCGAGTCACAGGCCCTAATTTAAGGTACCGAGGAAAATTCTATGGTGGTACAAACAAGATCTTTAGGTTGACAACTATTTCCTCAAGTTCTTCTCTTCCTTAAATAGCAAAATTATGTAAAACAAATGTTCCCTGCTATTTTGGTAAATTATATGCTATATATATACATATACAACAAATGGCAAGAGATTGTGAGCCAGCTTGTTTTGAAGCCTTCATATATTTAACATATGCCACTGCTATTTTCTTTTTCTTTCATATTACTTTTTTTTCCCCTCAGGAAATCTTGGCTCATGTAGTTGACAAATTCTTTTAGGAACCCGACTGATTCAAAATGTAGACTGGCTTTCTGAGTACTGTACAATTCAATGTCAAAGGTCCCTCTTTATTTCTGTTTCAAAACAAACTTTAATAAACAAAGGTGCCCTCGCTTTTTGTGGTTTGCCAGAGAAGAAATGTGAGCAGGTCCAGGTTTAAAACTGCAGGGAGGTTGGGCTCTGTGGCTCACGCCTGTAATCCCAGCACTTCAGGAGGCTGAGGCAGGAGGACCACTCAAGCCCAGGAGTTTGAGACCAGCCTGGGCAACATAGTGAGACCCTATCTCTACAAGAAATTTTAAAATTGGCTGGATACGGTGGCAAACGCCTGCAGTCCTAGCTACTGTGGAAGCTGAGGCAGGAGGATCGCTTGAGCCCAGGAGTTGGAGGGTGCGGTGAGCTTTATTGCACGACTGCACTCCAGCCTTGGTGACAGAGCAAGACCATGTCTCAAAAAATAAATAAATAAAACTGCAGGGAGCTAAGCCATTTTCTCAAAGTCACTTTTTACAAGGGTCAATGTACTCCAAACTCAAGGTAGAGAGGTGACTTGGAGAAGACAGGTTGCAGGAAGCTCATATTTCCTCATTGCTCACAATTTTCCTCTTCATCAAGCTCAGTTAATGCTCACAACCGTCTGCAAGCTGGCTGTCATTCCCACTTCACAGACGAAAGCAGAGCATAGTCATGCTTAGCAGCATGCTGTTCCATCAACTAGAGCACGGTCAATAGTTGCTGTTGTTATGTATATTTATAATAAGAGCAGTAGATGCCCAGGTTAAAAATGTCAAACATTACAGAAGGGTCCAAAATGAATAAGCAAAAAAAATGTGTCTTCCCTCAAAACTTCCCATTCCCGTCCAGTTCTCCTCCCCAGAAGAAACCAGAGTTAGGCTTCTTATGTGTCCTTCCCAAATGTCTATGATTGTCTAAGCATAACTCCTCTAGAACAGTATTTCTCAGACTGTAGCATGCAAACAAACTGCCTGGAGACTGGTTAAAATGCAGATGCTGATTCAGTAGGTTTGGTACAGGGTCTGAGACTCTGCATTTCTTGTTTTTTTATTTTTATTTTTATTTATTTATTTATTTATTTATTTTTAATTTTTTAATTTTTTTTATTATACTTTAAGTTTTAGGGTACATGTGCACATTGTGCAGGTTAGTTACATATGTATACATGTGCCATGCTGGTGCATTGCACCCACTAACTTGTCATCTAGCATTAGGTATATCTCCCAATGCTATCCCTCCCCCCTCCCCCCACCCCACCACAGTCCCCAGAGTGTGATATTTCCCTTCCTGTGTCCATGTGATCTCATTGTTCAATTCCCACCTATGAGTGAGAATACGCGGTGTTTGGTTTTTTGTTCTTGCGGTAGTTTACTGAGAAAGATGATTTCCAATTTCATCCATGTCCCTACAAAGGACATGAACTCATCATTTTTTATGGCTGCATAGTGTTCCATGGTGTACATGTGCCACATTTTCTTAATCCAGTCTATCATTGTTGGACATTTGGGTTGGTTCCAAGTCTTTGCTATTGTGAATAATGCCGCAATAAACATACGTGTGCATGTGTCTTTATAGCAGCATGATTTATAGTCCTTTGGGTATATACCCAGTAATGGGATGGCTGGGTCAAATGGTATTTCTAGTTCTAGATCCCTGAGGAATCGCCACACTGACTTCCACAATGGTTGAACTAGTTTACAGTCCCACCAACAGTGTAAAAGTGTTCCTATTTCTCCACATCCTCTCCAGCACCTGTTGTTTCCTGACTTTTTAATGATTGCCATTCTAACTGGTGTGAGATGGTATCTCATTGTGGTTTTGATTTGCATTTCTCTGATGGCCAGTGATGATGAGCATTTTTTCATGTGTTTTTTGGCTGCATAAATGTCTTCTTTTGAGAAGTGTCTGTTCATATCCTTTGCCCACTTTTTGATGGGGTTGTTTTTTTTTCTTGTAAATTTGTTTGAGTTCATTGTAGATTCTGGATATTAGCCCTTTGTCAGATGAGTAGGTTGCAAAAATTTTCTCCCATTTTGTAGGTTGCCTGTTCACTCTGATGGTAGTTTCTTTTGCTGTGCAGAAGCTCTTTAGTTTAATTAGATCCCATTTGTCAATTTTGTCTTTTGTTGCCATTGCTTTTGGTGTTTTGGACATGAAGTCCTTGCCCATGCCTATGTCCTGAATGGTAATGCCTAGGTTTTCTTCTAGGGTTTTTATGGTTTTAGGTCTAAGGTTTAAGGCTTTAATCCATCTTGAATTGATTTTTGTATAAGGTGTAAGGAAGGGATCCAGTTTCAGCTTCCTACATATGGCTAGCCAGTTTTCCCAGCACCATTTATTAAATAGGGAATCCTTTCCCCATTGCTTGTTTTTCTCAGGTTTGTCAAAGATCAGATAGTTGTAGATATGCGGCATTATTTCTGAGGGCTCTGTTCTGTTCCATTGATCTATATCTCTGTTTTGGTACCAGTACCATGCTGTTTTGGTTACTGTAGCCTTGTAGTATAGTTTGAAGTCAGGTAGTGTGATGCCTCCAGCTTTGTTCTTTTGGCTTAGGATTGACTTGGCAATGCGGGCTCTTTTTTGGTTCCATATGAACTTTAAAATAGTTTTTTCCAATTCTGTGAAGAAAGTCATTGGTAGCTTTATGGGGATGGCATTGAATCTATAAATTACCTTGGGCAGTATGGCCATTTTCATGATATTGATTCTTCCTACCCATGAGCATGGAATGTTCTTCCATTTGTTTGTATCCTCTTTTATTTCCTTGAGCAGTGGTTTGTAGTTCTCCTTGAAGAGGTCCTTCACATCCCTTGTAAGTTGGATTCCTAGGTATTTTATTCTCTTTGAAGCAATTGTGAATGGGAGTTCACTCATGATTTGGCTCTCTGTCTGTTATTGGTGTATAAGAATGCCTGTGATTTTTGTACATTGATTTTGTATCCTGAGACTTTGCTGAAGTTGCTTATCAGCTTAAGGAGATTTGGGGCTGAGACAATGGGGTTTTCTAGATATGCAATCATGTCGTCTGCAAACAGGGACAATTTGACTTCCTCTTTTCCTAATTGAATACCCTTTATTTCCTTCTCCAGCCTAATTGCCCTGGCCAGAACTGCCAACACTATGTTGAATAGGAGTGGTGAGAGAGGGCATCCCTGTCTTGTGCCAGTTTTCAAAGGGAATGCTTCCAGTTTTTGCCCATTCAGTATGATATTGGCTGTGGGTTTGTCATAGATAGCTCTTATTATTTTGAAATACGTCCCATCAATACCTAATTTATTGAGAGTTTTTAGCATGAAGGGTTGTTGAATTTTGTCAAAGGCTTTTTCTGCATCTATTGAGATAATCATGTGGTTTTTGTCTTTGGCTCTGTTTATATGCTGGATTACATTTATTGATTTGCGTATATTGAACCAGCCTTGCATCCCAGGGATGAAGCCCACTTGATCATGGTGGATAAGCTTTTTGATGTGCTGCTGGATTCGTTTTGCCAGTATTTTATTGAGGATTTTTGCATCAATGTTCATCAAGGATATTGGTCTAAAATTCTCTTTTTTGGTTGTGTCTCTGCCCGGCTTTGGTATCAGAATGATGCTGGCCTCATAAAATGAGTTAGGGAGGATTCCCTCTTTTTCTATTGATTGGAATAGTTTCAGAAGGAATGGTACCAGTTCCTCCTTGTACCTCTGATAGAATTCGGCTGTGAATCCATCTGGTCCTGGACTCTTTTTGGTTGGTAAACTATTGATTATTGCCACAATTTCAGCTCCTGTTATTGGTCTATTCAGAGATTCAACTTCTTCCTGGTTTAGTCTTGGGAGACTGTATGTGTCGAGGAATTTATCCATTTCTTCTAGATTTTCTAGTTTATTTGCGTAGAGGTGTTTGTACTATTCTCTGATGGTAGTTTGTATTTCTGTGGGATCGGTGCTGATATCCCCTTTATCATTTTTTATTGTGTCTATTTGATTCTTCTCTTTTTTTCTTTATTAGTCTTGCTAGCGGTCTATCAATTTTGTTGATCCTTTCAAAAAACCAGCTCCTGGATTCATTAATTTTTTGAAGGGTTTTTTGTGTCTCTATTTCCTTCAGTTCTGCTCTGATTTTAGTTATTTCTTGCCTTCTGCTAGCTTTTGAATGTGTTCGCTCTTGCTTTTCTAGTTCTTTTAATTGTGATGTTAGGGTGTCAATGTTGGATCTTTCCTGCTTTCTCTTGTGGGCATTTAGTGCTATAAATTTCCCTCTACACACTGCTTTGAATGTGTCCCAGAGATTCTGGTATGTTGTGTCTTTGTTCTCGTTGGTTTCAAAGAACATCTTTATTTCTGCCTTCATTTCGTTATGTATCCAGTAGTCATTCAGGAGCAGGTTGTTCAGTTTCCATGTAGTTGAGAGGTTTTGAGTGAGATTCTTAATCCTGAGTTCTAGTTTGATTGCACTGTGGTCTAAGAGATAGTTTGTTATAATCTCTGTTCTTTTACATTTGCTGAGGAGAGCTTTACTTCCAACTATGTGGTCAATTTTGGAATAGGTGTGGTGTGGTGCTGAAAAAAATGTATATTCTGTTGATTTGGGGTGGAGAGTTCTGTAGATGTCTATTAGGTCTGCTTGGTGCAGAGCTGAGTTCAATTCCTGGGTATCCTTGTTGACTTTCTGTCTCATTGATCTGTCTAATGTTGACAGTGGGGTGTTAAAGTCTGCCATTATTAATGTGTGGGAGTCTAAGTCTCTTTGTGGGTCACTCAGGACTTGCTTTATGAATCTGGGTGCTCCTGTATTGGGTGCATATATATTTAGGATAGTTAGCTCTTCTTGTTGAATTGATCCCTTTACCATTATGTAATGGCCTTCTTTGTCTCTTTTGATCTTTGTTGGTTTAAAGTCTGTTTTATCAGAGACTAGGATTGCAACCCCTGCCTTTTTTTGTTTTCCATTTGCTTGGTAGATCTTCCTCCATCCTTTTATTTTGAGCCTATGTGTGTCTCTGCACGTGAGATGGGTTTCCTGAATACAGCACACTGATGGGTCTTGACTCTTTATCCAATTTGCCAGTCTGTGTCTTTTAATTGGAGAATTTAGTCCATTTACATTTAAAGTTAATATTGTTATGTGTGAATTTGATCCTGTCATTATGATGTTAGCTGGTGATTTTGCTTGTTAGTTGATGCAGTTTCTTCCTAGTCTCGGTGGTCTTTACATTTTGGCATGATTTTGCAACGGCTGGTACCGGTTGTTCCTTTCCATGTTTAGCGCTTCCTTCAGGAGCTCTTTTAGGGCAGGCCTGGTGGTGACAAAATCTCTCAGCATTTGCTTGTCTGTAAAGTATTTTATTTCTCCTTCACTTATGAAGCTTAGTTTGGCTGGATATGAAATTCTAGGTTGAAAATTCTTTTCTTTAAGAATGTTGAATATTGGCCCCCACTCTCTTATGGCTTGTAGGGTTTCTGCCGAGAGATCTGCTGTTAGTCTGATGGGCTTCCCTTTGAGGGTAACCCGACCTTTCTCTCAGGCTGCCCTTAACATTTTTTCCTTCATTTCAACTTTGGTGAATCTGACAATTATGTGTCTTGGAGTTGCTCTTCTCGAGGAGTATCTTTGTGGCATTCTCTGTATTTCCTGAATCTGAACATTGGCCTGCCTTGCTAGATTGGGGAAGTTCTCCTGGATAATATCCTGCAGAGTGTTTTCCAACTTGGTTCCATTCTCCCCATCACTTTCAGGTATACCAATCAGACGTAGATTTGGTCTTTTCACATAGTCCCATATTTCTTGGAGGCTTTGCTCATTTCTTTTTATTCTTTTTTCTCTAAACTTCCCTTCTCGCTTCATTTCATTCATTTCATCTTCCATTGCTGATACTCTTTCTTCCAGTTGATCGCATCGGCTCCTGAGGCTTCTGCATTCTTCACCTAGTTCTTGAGCCTTGGTTTTCAGCTCCATTAGCTCCTTTAAGCACTTCTCTGTATTGGTTATTCTAGTTATACGTTCTTCTAAATTTTTTTCAAAGTTTTCAACTTCTTTGCCTTTGGTTTGAATGTCCTCCCGTAGCTCAGAGTAATTTGATCGTCTGAAGCCTTCTTCTCTCAGCTCGTCAAAGTCATTCTCCATCCAGCTTTGTTCCGTTGCTGGTGAGGAACTGCGTTCCTTTGGAGGAGGAGAGGCGCTCTGCGTTTTAGAGTTTCCAGTTTTTCTGTTCTGTTTTTTCCCCATCTTTGTGGTTTTATCTACTTTTGGTCTTTGATGATGGTGATGTACAGATGGGTTTTTGGTGTGAATGTCCTTTCTGTTTGTTAGTTTTCCTTCTAACAGACAGGACCCTCAGCTGCAGGTCTGTTGGAATACCCTGCCTTGTGAGTTGTCAGTGTGCCCCTGCTGGGGGGTGCCTCCCAGTTAGGCTGCTCGGGGGTCAGGGGTCAGGGACCCACTTGAGGAGGCAGTCTGCCCGTTCTCAGATCTCCAGCTGCGTGCTGGGAGAACCGCTGCTCTCTTCAAAGCTGTCAGACAGGGACATTTAAGTCTGCAGAGGTTACTGCTGTCTTTTTGTTTGTCTGTGCCCTGCCCGCAGAGGTGGAGCCTACAGAGGCAGGCAGGCCTCCTTGAGCTGTGGTGGGCTCCACCCAGTTCGAGCTTCCTGGCTGCTTTGTTTACCTAAGCAAGCCTGGGCAATGGCGGGCGCCCCTCCCCCAGCCTCGCTGCCGCCTTGCAGTTTGATCTCAGACTGCTGTGCTAGCAATCAGCGAGACTCCGTGGGCGTAGGACCCTCCGAGCCAGGTGCGGAATATAATCTCGTGGTGCGCCGTTTTTTAAGCCGGTCTGAAAAGCGCAATATTCGGGTGGGAGTGACCCGATTTTCCAGGTGCGTCCGTCACCCCTTTCTTTGACTCAGAAAGGGAACTCCCTGACCCCTTGCGCTTCCCAAGTGAGGCAATGCCTCGCCCTGCTTCGGCTCGCGCACGGTGCACGCACCCACTGACCTGCGCCCACTGTCTGGCACTCCCTAGTGAGATGAACCCGGTACCTCAGATGGAAATGCAGAAATCACCCGTCTTCTGTGTCGCTCACGCTGGGAGCTGTAGACCGGAGCTGTTCCTATTCGGCCATCTTGGCTCCTCCTCCTCTATTTATTTATCTTGAGACAGGGTCTTGTTCTGTCACCCAGGCTGGAGTGCAGTGGTGTAATCACAGCCCACTGCAACCTCAAACTCCTGGGCTCAAGTGATTCTCCCACTTTAGCCTCCTGAGTAGCTGGGACTGCAGGCACACGCCACTACTCCCGACTAATTTCTGTATTTTTTGTAGAGACGGAGGTCTCACTTTGTTACCCAGGCTGGTCTATAGCTCCTGGGCTCAAGCGATCTTCCAGCCTCAGCCTCCCAAAGTGCTAGAATTATAGGTATGAGCCACGATGCCTGGCCAAGATTCTGCCTTTCTAACAAGCTCCTAAGGGATTGCTGGGGCCTCTGGTTCAGAACCACACTTAAGTTTTTCTTTCTTTCTTTTTTTTGTTTTTCGATGGAGTCTTGCTCTGTTGCCCAGGCTGGAGTGCAGTAGCGCCATCTTGGCCTGCAACCTATTTCTCCTGGGTTCAAGCGATTCTCTTGCCTCAGCCTCCTGAATAGCTGGGATTACATGCATGAGTCACCATGCACAGCTAATTTTTGTATTTTTAGTAAAGACGAGGATTCACCATGTTGGCCAGGCTGGTCTCAAACTCCTGACCTCAAGTAATATGTTCATCTTGGCCTCCCAAAGTGTGGGGACTACAGGCATGAGCCTCGGCATCTGGCCAGGACCACACGTAAGTTTTTGAGTATTGAGGACCTAGCTCACAGGACCATGCTATACCACTTTTTCTTTTTGGAGAAACAGAGTCTCACTTTGTTCTCCAAGCTGGTCTCAAACTCCTGACTTCAAGTGATCTTCCCACTTCTGCCACTCAAAATGCCAGGATTATAGGCATGAGCCACTGTGCCCAGCCCATTTTATAGCACATTTAATAATGAGCCTCAACAATCTTGCCCTGTTGACCCTTACAGATCAGCGTGTGTGTGTGTATGTATGTATGTATGTATGTGTGTGTATGTATGTATGTGTGTGTGTGTATGTTTATTGTGGTAAAATATATGTAACATAAAATTTACCATTGACATTTTTTTTTTTTTGAGACAGAGTCTACCTGCGTTGCCCAGGCTGGAGTGCAGTGGTGCGATCTCAGCTCACTGCAACCTCCCCCCTCCCAGATTCAAGCGATTGTCCTGCCCTCAGCCTCTTGAGTTGCTGGATTACAGGCATGACCCAACACGCCCGGCTAATTTTTGTATTTTCAGTAGAGACAGGGTTTCACCATGTTGGCCAGGCTGGTTTCAAACTCCTGACCTCAAGTGGTCTGCCCTCCTGGGCTTCCCAAAGTACTGGCATTATAGGACCATAAACCATTTTAAGTGTACAGTTAGTGGCATTAAGTACATTCACAATGTTGTGCAACCATCACTATCATCCATCTCCAGAATTTTTTCATCCTCCCCAACTGTACTCATTAAACACTAACTCCCTATCCTCCCTTCCCCCCAGCCCCTGGTAACCACTATCCTGCTTTCTACATCTGTGAATGTAAGTGTTCTAGGTCCCCTCACATAGGTAGAATCCTCATATAGGTAGAATCCTTTTGTGACTGCCTTACTTCACTCCGCATAATATCTTCAAGGTTCATCCATGTTGTAACATGTGTCACAATTTCCTTTCTTTTTAAGCCTGGATCATATTCTATTGTATATATTGTTCACATTTTGTTTATCCATTTATCTGTTGGATATTTCTGCCTTTTGGCTGGTTGTTTCTGCCTTTTGGCTATTTTGATACAGGCCAACTTAAAAATTTGTTAACATTTTTATTTATTTATTTATTTTTAATTTTTTTTTTGAGACAGGTTCTAGCTCTGTTGCCCAGGCTGGAATGCTGTGGTGTGATTGTGGCTCACTGCAGCTTTGACCTCCCAGGCTCAAATAATCCTCCCACCTCAGCCTCCCGAGTAGCTGGGACCACAGACACGCACCACCATGCCCAGCTAATTTTTTAAAAATTTTTTGTTGAGATGAGGGTCTTACTATGTTGCCCAGGCTAGTCTTGAACTCCTGGGCTTGATCAAGCAATTCTCTCACCTTGGCCTCCCAAAGTGCTGAGATTACAGGCATGAGCCACCCTGCATGGCTGTAAAAACATTTAAAAAGTGGATGTGCTATATCCATTTAATCACCCCTGTCCTAATGATCATTTCTAGTGTTCTATTATCACAATCAAAGCTGCAAAGAGCATGCTAGCAGCAGAAGGGACTATAGCAGGGTGGCTGGACTGGAGACTCTGAAGTCAGATGGCTTTGCCAAAGCGTGGCTTAGCCACTTACTGTGTGACCTTGGGCGAGCTTGCCGCCCCTCTGTGCTTAAGTGTCCTCATTTGCAAAATAGGGATAGTGAAAATGCGTATTAAATAAGATAATCCATAAGGCACTGAACTCTGGACCTGAAACATGGCAAACTAATGGTCCATATCAGCTGTTCTTTATTCTTATTATTTTTTGACAGAGTTCACCATGTCACCCAGGCTGGAGTGCAGTGGCGTGATCTCAGCTCACTGCAACCTCTGCCTCCCGGGTTCAAGCGATTCTCCTGCCTCAGCCTCCTGAGTAGCTGGGATTACAGGTGCATGCCACCAGGCCCAGCTAATTTTTGTATTTTTAGTAAAGACGGGGTTTCACTATGTTGGCCAAGCTGGTTTGAAACTCCTGACCTCAAATGATCTGCTCACCTTGGCCTCCCAAAGTGCTGGGATTATAGGCTTGAGGCACTGTGCCTTGCCCCGTATCAGCCAAGATCAGTATCGTAAGTTATTGCCATCTTGTTTCCATCCCTGTAATGAATTGCCAGCAGAACAAAGCTGGTGGCAGCACGGGACATTTAAACATTGTGAAAGCTATCACAAATTACCTTCCAAAAGGTTGCAGTGGTCACTATTAGTCCACAGAAGGAAGTAGGGAGCCGTGGACGGTCCTTGCGGCGAAGATGTGACAAAAGGAGTATTCAAGGAAGATGATCAGGCCACACAGCGATTTCTTTCTGTGATATCCTCAGAGTCAAGGGTACTGATCCATTGACCTTGCCTTCATTCCTAAAGATGAATTGAGAATGCACGCAAACGTTCATGTCCTTCCTTCCTGGGATATTTCTCTATGTGTCCATCTTCTGTGAATACCTTAGGGGACTCTTCACGTTTTTGATTTTGGGGTTGCTTCTTTGGGACTGGGGGTCCCACTCACTTGTAGTTTCCTTTCTGTAGCCCATTTCACACCACCCCTCACTTAGTGGGTTCCATACGTGAAATGTCACCCCCACCATAAGCCTTTCACAGCACCCAGTTTATTTTATTTGCAGCATTTCTTACAATGTGCAAACCATCTATATAGTGATGTCCATTTTTAATCATTATTTTTCTTTTTAAAATTCTTATCCCCTCCTGGTAGACTATGAGCACTGCAGAAAGGCATTGACGTCTGATGACCTTAGTGATCCCAGCAGCACCTTTGGGCCTGGCACAAAGCAGGTGCTCTTTCGATATTTGTTGGATAAGGGATTTCAGTAACATCTGTGGCAGTGCTAAGAGCTAAGGATTTTCTTTTCTTTTTTTTTTTTTTTGAAGGCAAAATACACATAACGTAGACTTTACCATTTTAACCTTTTTTTTCCCCTTAGAAATGGGGTCTTGCAGCTGGGCACCATGGCTTACATCTGTAATACCTGCACTTTGGGAGTCCGAGGTAGGTGGATCATCTGAGGTCAGGAGTTTGAGACCAGCCTGGCCAACATGGTGAAACCCTGTCTCTACTAAAAGTGCAAAAGTTAGCCGGGCGTGGTGGTGCGTGCCTGTAATCCCAGCTACTTGGGAGCCTGAGGCAGGAGAATTGCTTGAACCTGGGAGGCAGAGGTTGCAGTGAGCCTGGGTGACAGAGTGAGACTCCGTCTCAAAAAAATAAAAGACGGGGTCTCGCTATGTTACCCAAGCTGGTCTTGAAGTCCTGGCCTCAAGCAGTTCTCTTGCTTTAGCCCATCCACGTAGCTAGGATTACAGACACATGTGCCACCCCAGCCCCCCACCATGTCTGGCTCTATTTTAACCATTTTATTTATTTTTTATTTTTTTCCATCTTAACCATCAATTAAAGTGTGCAGTTTTACAAGGTTGCACAACCCTCATCTCTGTCTAGTCCCAGAGCATTTTCATCACCCCAAAAGGAGACCCCACACCCATTAAGCTGTGACTCCCCATTCCCTGGCAATCCCCTAGCCCCTGGTAGCCACTAATCTGCTTTCTGTCTCCATGAATTCTGGACACTTCATTTAAGCGGACTCATATCTATGTGAGCTTTTGTGACTAGCTTCTTTGCTCAGCGTAATATTTTTGAGGTTCATCTGTAATGTAGCATGTGTCAGTAGTTTCAGGAGGTTTCTGTTTGTTCATTTGTTTTGTTTTTCAGAGACAGTGTCTCTTTCTGTTGCCCAGCCTGGAGTGCAGTGGTGTGATCATAGCTCACTGCAGCCTCGACCTCTCAGGCTCAAGCGACCCTCCCACCTCAGCCTCCTGAGTAGCTAGGACTACAGGCACACACCACTGCATCTGGCTAATTTTAAAATTCTTTGTAGAGATGGGGTCTCCCTATTTTGCCCAGGCTGGTCTTGAACCCCTAGACTGAAGTGATCCTCTTGCCTCCGCCTCCTAAAGTGCTGGGATTACAGGTGTGAGCCACTGCACCCCTGAGGACTTTTTTTTTTTTTAACAGTGATGTGCTAGAGCCCGATGGTACCAGTTCTAGAGAGCAGATGGATTGTTAAATATGCAAGAATTTGGGGAGCCTGTTATTTAGTCACTGACAGGCTGAAACAAGCCATCGTGGGAGTATCTAGGACGCAGATATTGGTAAATACTACAAATCAATATTGTTGGGGGAGGGTATTTGAGAGCCAGTTTATACGCACACCGCTGACTTTCAAGCACCCCCACAATCTCTATCAGCATCCCTGAGAAGTTACCGTAACTAAATACCTACTTTGGTTTATTTCTTTATTTCTTTAGAGTCAGGATCTCACTCTGTTGTCCAGGCTAGGTGCAGTGGTGCAATCATAGCTCACTGTAGCCTCAACTTCCTGGGCTCAAGAGACCCTCCTGCCTCAGCCTTTTGAGTAGCCAAGACCACAAGTATGTGCTACCATGCCTGGCTAATCTTTTTTTTTTGTTTTTTTTTGTAGAGATGGGGTCTTACAGGCTAGGGGTGATGGCTCACGCCTGTAATCCCAGCACTTTGGGAGGCCAAGGCAGGTGGATCACCTGAAGTCAGGAGTTTGAGACCAGCCTGGCCAACATGGAGAAAGTCTGTCTCTACTGAAAATACAAAAATTAGCCAGGCGTGGTGGCACATGCCTATAATCCCAGCTACTCAGGAGGCCAAGGCACGAGGATTGCTTGAACTCGGGAGGCAGAGGTTGCTGTGAGCCAAGATCAGGATACTGCACTCCAGCCTTGGTGACCTAGCAAGATTCTGTCTCAAAACAAACAAACAAACAAACAAACAAACAAGCAAAACCCGAGATGGGGTCTTGCTGTGTTGCCCAGCCTGGTCTCAAACTCCTGGTCTCAAGCAATCCTCCTGCCTTGGCCTCCTAAAGTGCTGGGATTAGAGGCGTGAGCCACCATGCAGACCTCTTAAATACCTATTTTGAATAAAACAGTGTTCTTGCTGGGCAAGTACTGCTTAAGAGATGTCCTGGGTCCCACCTTCTAACCAGATATCCAGGCCTAAGGCAGTCTGTCACCAAGCCTTTGCTCCTAAGTGACACCTGCCTTCCAGCTGCAAGGGATGCCCCAGCTCCAGACGGCAGGATGTTTGCCTGAGTCCTGTGTCATAGGTCTCTCAGGGTAGGACGGTGAGTTGTAGACGCCCAGCTCAGCCAACAAGAGAGTGGAGACTCCTCGGGGCTCAGTCCCTCAGTGCTTCTGCTTCACGATGGGGTTGAGGGCAGGGGGACAGCAGAATCGCTTGCCTGCCTCTGATGAACGAGAAGAGCAGTCCCCAGATCAGCAATGCCAGCAGCATCTGGGAATGCACTCAAAGTGTAAAGGTTTGGCCCCAGGTCAGACCTTCTGAATCAGGCCTTCTGGGGGCGGGGCCCAGCCATCCATGTCGTGACCAGCCCCGTGGGAGTTCTGAGGCTGCATCCAGTTCAAGAACCCCTGGACTCAAGTGACAGTCCAAAGAGCTGTCAGTCAGGCTGGAATGGAGCTGTGCCTTTTGTTTTTGTTTGTTTATTTATTTATTTATTTATTTTTCTGTTTTGTTTTATTTTATTTTATTTTATTTTTTATTATACTTTAAGTTCTAGGGTACATGTGCACAGTGTGCAGGTTTGTTACATATGTATACATGTGCCATGTTGGTGTGCTGCACCTATTAACTCGTCATTTACATTAGGTATATCTCCTAATGCTATCCCTCCCCCCTCCCCCTATCCCACGACAGGTCCCGGTGTGTGATGTTCCCCTTCCTGTGTCCAAGTGTTCTCATTGTTCAGTTCCCACCTATGAGTGAGAACATGCGGTGTTTGGTTTTTTGTCCTTGCGATAGTTTGCTGAGAATAATGTCCATCAATGATAGACTGGATTAATAAAATGTGGCACATATACACCATGGAATACTATGCAGCCATAAACACCATGGAATACTATGCAGCCATAAAAAAGGATGAGTTCATGTCCTTTGTAGGGACATGGATGGAGCTGTGCCTTTTGATTCCTGCTCCAGAACACACGCTGTTTTCCACTCTCTGGCAAGCCTGCCCACACAAGCCAGCTCAGTTTAGACCTTGCATTCATTCCTGAGATATGTGAATGCTTGGGAGAGGCACTGACCTGACGCCCAGTGATTAGGACTGAAGGCGCTATTACCAAAGACCACCAAACTGAAGCCTCGGCTCCTTCAAGCTGTGTGACCTAGGGCAACTGCTGTAACCTGAGCAGCCATTTCCTCATGTATAAAATGGGTATAATAACTGTACCTAATTCATAAGTTGATTGTTAAGGTAGCAGGAGATAATATAAAGGGCTTCGCATAGCTCTTGGCTTATAGCAAATGCTCAATAACTAGTTGCATGGTTTGAGGGCTATTATCCAAGGAGTTCGAGGAAGGGGAATTCAGTGATGAATCCCTCACATTTGTCTCGTGCTTTACAATTAATTTGTATAATAACTCTGCAGGAACTTCTTTGTAGCAGATATGGTTGGTGCTCTTTACAGATTCCTTTAGCAGGCTGGCACTCCCCCAGCTATTGCCAGTGTTGGTTCACAACTGTAGCTCCCTCTGGATTGCCCCTGGTGGAGGGGAGCCACCTTGTCTGGGAGATTATGCTCTCCACTGCTGGGGGTGGTGTGGCCAAGGACTGACTCATATGAGGGTGTAACAGCCCAGCCCTCACACCCCCGGGCGGGACCCTCTCAGTGTCACGATTCACACTTCAGAGCTCCCTGTGGGGTCAGGCTGAGGCTAGACTTCAGCAGGAGCTACATCCTTTCTTAGCTTCCTCCTGCTTTCCAGTGGGTTTCTCTTTAGACTCCTTCCTCAGTAAATCGCTTACACAAACATCGCCATCTCACTGTTTTCAGAAATAGAAAAATCCTAATCCCAGCACTTCGGGAGGCCAAGGCGGGAGGATGGCTTGAGGCCAAGAGTTTGAGACCAGCCTGACCAACATAATGAGACCCCTGTCTCTACGAAACAAACTAACAAAAAGCTAGGTGTGGTGGTGGTGCGTGCCTGTAGTCCCAGCTACTCAGGAGGCTGAGGCAGGAGGATCACTTGAATCCAGGAGTTTGAGGCTGTAGGGAGCTATAATAGTGCCATTGCACTCTAGTCTGAGCAACAGAGCGAGACTCCGTCTCAAAAGAAAAAAAGGAGGGTGGGCATGGTGGCTCATGCCTGTAATACCAGCACTTTGGGAGGCTAAGGCAGGCCGATCACTTGAGGTCAGGAGTTCGAGATCAGCCTGGCCAATATGGTGAAACCCCGTCTTTACTAAAAATACAAAAATTAGCTGGGTGTGGTGGCATGCGCCTGTAGTCCCAGCTACTCAGGAGGCTGAGGGAGGAGAATCACTTGAACCTGGGAAGCGGAGGCTGCAGTTACCAGAGATCATGCCATTGCACTCCAGCCTGGGTGTCACAGCGAGACTGGGTCTCAAAAAAAAAAAAAAAAAAAAGAGAGAAAAGAAGTAAGAAAGGAAGAAATAAAGGGAAATCTACCTGAAGATTCATATAGAATCTCTCAAGGGACACCGAATAACTAAAACAATCTTGAAAAATAAGAACAAAATTAAAGGTCTCACACTTTCCAATTTCAAAACTTACTACTACTTACTTGGGTGTGGCTTAAGGATAGACATACAGATCAATGGAATAGAATCAAGAGCTCAGAAATAAATTCTCGAATCATATGATTTGATTAAATGATTTTCAAAATGGTGCCAAGATCACTCAGTAGGGGAAAGGACAGTCTTTAAACAGATGGTATTAGGAACATTGGATGTCCGTATGTGAAAGAATGAAGTTGGACTCTTACCTAACACCATATATAAAAATTAACTCAAAATGGATCAAAGACCTAAACCCATAAAAGTTGAGAAGAAAATATAGGAGAAAAGCCTTATGATCTGGACTTGGCAATGATTTCATGGGTATGACACCAAAAGAGCAGATAATAAAAATAAAAGTAGATATATCGGGCTACATCAAAATTTAAAACTTTTGGCCTGGCGTGGTGGCTCACACCTGTAATCCCAGCACTTTGGGAGGCCAAGGTGGGTAGATCGCTTTAGCTCAGGAGTTCAAGATCAGCCTGGCCAACATGGTGAAAACTCATCTCTACAAAAAAAGAAAAAAAAATTAGTCAGGCATGGCCGTGTGCACCTGTAGTCCCAGTTACTCAAGAGGCTGAGGTGGGAGGAGCACCTGAGCCCAGGAGGTCGAGGCTGCAGTGGGCCATGATCACGCCACTGCACTCCAGCCTGGGTGACAGAGTGAGACCCTGTATTAAAATTTTTTTTTTCAAACTTTGGTGCATTCAACGATCACAATCAATAGAGTAAAAAGGCAATCCAAAGAATGGGAAAAATTGTTTGCAAATCATATGTCTGATAAGGGATCTATATCCAGAATACAGAAAGAAGTACAAGTCAACAACAAGAAGTCAAACAACCCAAGTTTAAAATAGGCAAAGGACTTCAATAGACATTTCTTCAAAGATGTACAAAGGGCCAATAAGCACATAATAAGTTGCTCAACATTAGGGAAATGCAAATCAAAATCACAATGAGATACCATCTCACACCCATTAGGATGGCTGTTATCAAGCAAATGGAAAATAACAAGTATTGGCAAGGATGTGGAGAAATTGGAATCTTTGTGCATTGCTTGTGAGAATACAAAACGGTGCAGCCACTGTGGAAGACATTCTGGCAATTCCTCAAAAAATAAAACATAGAATAACCCTTTCATCCAGTAATTCGTCTTATGGGTCTATATCTAAAATAAGTGAAAGCAGGAACTCAAATAGATATTTGTACACTCATGTTCATTACAGCATTATTCACAATAACCAAAACATGGAAACAACCTGTCCATCAACAGATGAATGGATCAGCAAAATGTGGTCTGTCCACACAATGGAATATTATTCAGCCTTAAAAAGGAGGGAAGTTCTGCAATGTGCTGCAACATTGGATGAGCCTTGAAGACATTATGCTAAGGGAAATAAGCCAGACACAAAAGGAAAATTACTGTATGATTTCACTTATCTGAGATCCCTAGAGGAGTCAAATTCATAGAGACAGAAAGTAGATTGGTGCTCGTCAGGGCTGAATAGGGGAAAATGGAGCATTGATTTCTATGGGTACAGAGTTTCAGGTGAAACTTAATGTCACTGAATTGTACACTTATAATGGTTAAAATGGCAAATTTTGTATTTTAATATGGCATGTATATTTTACCACAGTAGAAAAAGAATCCCTGTTTCACGATTTTCTTCTAGGACACCTGACTTACGGCACAACTATCACACCAATGTATAGAAGAGGTAAACTGAGGCTCAGAGTGACTATGTGTTTGTCTTATCCAGTGGGGATAATAATAGTCTCCACCTCTCAAGTTTACTCTGAGCATTAAATCAAATAATGATGCCTATAAAGACCCCCCCCTCCCCGATCAAAGAAGAGCACTGGCGACAGAGTGAGAACCTGCATCTCATGGTATCTCATTGTGATTTTGATTTGCATTTCCGTAATATTGAGCAACTTATTATGTGCCTATTGGCCCCTTGCATGTCTTCTTTGGAGAAATGTCTCTTGAAGTCCTTTGCCTATTTTAAAATGTGAAATGCCTATGAAGATGTGAGCGATGGAGACAGGATGGCTTCAAGTAAACTAGGGACAAATGTTGGCGATTTCACATGGGTCAACCTAATAGTCTAATCCTTTAGTTAAACAGCAGAAACAAAGATATTTCTCTCATTGTTATGTATGTAATTTTATATGCTTGAAATATCTCAAAATAAAATATCTTTATTAAAAAATAGAGTAAATGGGAAGCAATGGAAGAGTCTGAAGAGGTGTTACCCTCTCATTGGCCAGGAATACAGTGTTTTAAGCCAGATAAACCTGTGGTTGAATCCCGGTTCCATGCCTGTTTAGTTATGGGACTGTGGGCAAGCCATGTGACTTCTAGGACCTCAGTGTTCTTGTCTGTAAAATGGTGATAATAATATGAACTTCAGAGTGGTGCTATGCAGATCGAGTGCACAGAAAACAGCTGGAACTTGCACAGAGCACAAACTTGATTCTATTAGAGGTGACTGTGGTAGAGGGGGTGAAATGTTAGCACCAAGCTTCAAACCCCACCAGTCTGTCTGCCAGCCCTGTGCTGGGCCCTGCATTTCCCTGCCAAGACGAGCCTGACAGCTCAGGTTTTCCAAGCCCAGCCTTGCCAAGGAGTGGAGTTTCAGGTGTTTACAGAATTACTGTGATTTAATCTGTCTTTTCTCTTCTAGAACTTCACAAGCAGGTTATGTTCCCTGTGCTTCTGAAATCCAGAGATTTACCCTTTCTATGCCAGCACAACAGTTACTCTGGTGAAATACATGGAATGATGCAATCGTTAATAATAATAGCAGTATTTTGAACTTAAATATTTCTCTTTTTTTTACCTTTTAAAAACATGGATCAAATGTGTACTCCATCTGCTCATATACTACCTCTGCTATTCATGCCCATGTAACTCCAGACTTTTTTCTTTTTCTTAACAAATAAAATCCTAGGATCTTGCTCTGTCACCCAGGCTGGAGGGAGTGGTGCAATCTTGGCTCACTGCAACCTCCACCTCCTGGGCTCAAGCAATCCTCCCACCTCAGCCTCCCAAGTAGCTGGGACCACAGGCACATGCCACCATGCCTGGCTAATTTTTGTATTTTTTGTAGAGATGGGGTTTTGCCATGTCAACCAGGCTTGTCTTAAACTACTGGACTCAAGTGACCCTTTCACGCCAGCCTCCCAAAGTGTGGAGATTATAGGCGTGAGTGACCATGCCCAGCCAGACTTTTTTATTTTCCTTTTCCTTTTCCTTTTATTTTTTCTTTCCTTCCTTCCTTGCTTCCTTCCTTCCTTTTTTATTTCTTTCTCTCTCTCTTTCTTCTTCTTTCTTCCTTCTCCTCTCTCTCTCTTTCTTTCTTTTCTTTGTTTCTTTCTTTTTATTTTTCAGATAGGGTCTCTCTCTGTTGCTCAGGCTGGAATGCAGTGGTATGATCACGGCTCACTGCAGCCTCACCCTTATGGGTTCAAGTGATCCTCCCACCTCAGCCTCCCAAGTAGCTGGGACCAAAGTCACACACCACCATGTCCAACTAATTTTTTTCTTTTTTGTAGAGATGGCATCTCACTATGTTGCCCAGGCTGGTCTTGAACTCCTTTGCCCAAGCAATCCTCCCTCCTCAGCCTCCCAAAGTGCTGGGATTACAGGCATGATCCACTGTACCCAGCACCCCAAACTTTCCTCAAAAAGTCTATGAGGACTCAAAGCTGTGATAGAAAGGACTTGCACATTCGGTATCACTATCCCCTTGAGAGACTGTGAGGTCAGAACACATCTGTCTTTTCAGTGCTATAACCCCAAAACCCACCCTAGGGCTGGGAGACAGCAGGAATTTTGTGTTTGGGAGTGAGAAAGTTGGAAGGAGACAGGTAATTTTGCCCCGGAGTCCCAGATGAAGAAACTACTGCCCAGAAAAATCAAAGCTTCTTGCAGAGGAACAAGAAACAGCATAGTTTGAAGGACATATTGCATAAGAGTGGGGCCCATGGGGTCTCAAACTCAAATGTCTACAGGGCCTGACAAATGGGGCCACGTGCCAAGTGAGAGGAACACAGAGCAAGTGCAAGGATAACTGGCAAAAGACCCTTAGGGCTGGAGATAATGAGACAGTGGTCAACTGTGGAGTGCATGACCCATCTAAAACAGGGGTTGGGGTGGGCCGGGGACCACCACTGCCCAGACCTAGCACAATTCCAATGCAGGAATGTGGGCTCCAGACAGCGAGATATTCTACTTTTTCAAGAGACATTGGGATTCTGGCTTTTTATGTGAATTTTCCCAATTTTAAAATTTTGGCACCAGGCGTGGTAGCTCACACCTGTAATCCCAGAACTTTGGGAGGCTGACGAGGGAGGATCACTTGAGCTCAGGAGTTTGAGACCAGACTGGGCAACATAGTGAAACCTTGTCTCTATTCTAAAAAATGGCATCCACTTTAAACTTTTAGAAATATGGTGTGAGCAACTTTTTGTGGGCCTAACATGACCTTTAGATGACCAAAATGTTAGATATAGACAGATGAGTCTAAAATCTGAAACAAATGTACTCACAAACAGTATTCTGGCCTAAAACAAAGATATCCTCAATCACATAACCTACTTTGTGAATAGGAAACCCTGGAATTGGGCAGTGCCCAATCTGCTCAACTGTATATGGCAGTCCTGATATTATAACTCTTGAAGTTATTACTCTCCCCAACCCCAGTCCAAATCAATAGAAATGCTAACCCCCATCCATCAACTCTCCAAACCATGAGAAGAAGTCTTTCACCTGTCCTGGTCACTAGAGCTGTGCAGCAAGGCCATTTGGGGGAAGCTTTAGCCATCTTGACCAGATTTGTTCTGTTCTCTAGGGTTGTGAAATTCCGTCGCACAGGCGAGAGTGCAAGGTCAGAGGACGACACGGCTTCAGGAGAGCATGAAGTCCAGATTGAAGGGGTCCACGTGGGCCTAGAGGCTGTGGAGCTGGATGATGGGGCAGCTGTGCCCAAGGAGTTTGCCAATCCCACTGATGGTGAGAGGGCCCTGCAGTTGGGGAATCAGCCTGGGCCACGGTCAAGGTTGCCTACCCAGCAGGCAATTTCAGAGGGGTAATGTGAAGGGGCAGTTGGGAGGGCCCAGGGGGCCAAGGGGTGGAGCTGGAAGTGGGAGCTGAGCCTACATAGCTTACTTCAGCAGGCAAGGTTACATCACAATCCCTGCCAGTCAGCATCAATGCACAACACTTGGCTGAGGATGGCAATAACAATGATGATAATGGTGACAAAGATGATGATGGTGATGATGATGATGATGATGGTGGTGGTGATGATGGTGGCAATGATGATGGTGATGATCATGATAGTAATGATGATGATGGTGAGGATGATGGTGATAATGGTGATGATTATGGTGATGGTGATGATCATAGTGATGAAGACTGTGATGATAAAGATGGCAATGGTGATGATGGTGATGACAATGGTGATGATGATGGTGGTGATAGTGATGATTATGGTGATTATGATGATGGTGATCATGATGATGGTGATCATGATGATGGTGATGATGGTGATGGTGATGATGGTGGTGATGATGATGATATGATGATGGTGGTGATAATGATGATGGTGACAATGATAATGATGGTGATAGTGATGATTATGATGATGATGATGGTGATCATGATGGTGATGGTGATGATGATGCTAGTGATGAAAGATGATAAGGATGGCAATGATGATGATGATGATGATAGTGATGATGATGATGGTGGTGATGATAGTGATGATGATGATGGTGACAGTGATGATGATGGTGATGATGATGATGGTGATGATGATGATAGTGATGAT
The DNA here is from genome assembly GCF_000001405.40 of Homo sapiens. Lineage (NCBI taxonomy): Eukaryota > Metazoa > Chordata > Mammalia > Primates > Hominidae > Homo > Homo sapiens. The sequence goes on along the minus strand of NC_000012.12, from coordinate 108,982,780 downwards.
GATGGTGGTGATGTTGATGATAGTGATGATGATGATGGTGATGATGATAGTGATGATGATGATGATGGTGACAGTGATGATGATGGTGATGATGATGATGGTGATGATAATGATGGTGATCATGATGATGGTGATGGTGATGATGATGATAGTGATGAAGATGGTGATAAGGATGGCAGTGGTGATGATAGTGATGATGATAATGGTGAAGATGATGGTGACGATGATGACGGTGATGATGAAAATGATGGTGGTGGTGGTGATGATGGTGATGATAGTGGTGGTGATGATGATGATTGTGGTGATAATGATGTTGATAGTGATGATTATGGTGATGATGATGATGGTGATCATGATGATGGTGATGGTGATGATGATGATAGTGATGAAGATGGTGATAAGGATGGCAGTGGTGATGATAGTGATGATGATGATGGTGAAGATGATGATGATGGTGATGATGATGAAAATGATGGTGGTGGTGGTGATGATGGTGATGATAGTGTGGTGATGATGATGATTGTGGTGATAATGATGGTGATAGTGATGATTATGGTGATGAAGATGATGATGGAGATCATGATGATGGTGATGATAATGATAGGATGAAGATGGTGATGATAAGGTTGGCAATGATGATGATAGTGATGATGATGATGAAGATGGTGGTTACGATGGTGATGATGATGATAGTGATGATGATGAAGATGGTGGTTATGATGGTGACGATGATGATGATAGTGATGATGATGGTGGTGATGATGATGATGGTAGTGATGATGGTGGTGATGATGAAGATGATGGTGGTGATGATGATGAAGATGATGGCGGTGGTGGTGATGATGGTGATGATAGTGGTGGTGATGCTGATAGTGAAGACGATGGTGATAGTGCTGATGGTGGGGATGACAGTATAATGACAATGGTGGTGATGATGTTGGTTATGATGATAGTGTGATAGTAATGGTGACACTGATGATGGTATGGGAGTAGCTAACATTGACTGAGGATTTATTATGTGCCAGGCACTGCTCTAACCAGTTTACATGTTTTATCCATCTAATCCTCACAACAGTTCCAATTGGATCTATTACCAACATCTTCCCCATTTTGCAGGTGAGGAAACTGAAGCACAGAAGGGTTAAGTATCTTGCTGAGGGTTATACAGCTAGGAATTAGCCAATTTGGATTTACGCCCAGGCAATCTGGCCTCAGAGCCCACATTCTTACCCACGACCTTGTTCTGACTCTGAGGCGGTGCTGTGGGACCTGGTCTCCAGCTTTCCTCACTTCTTGTTGCTGATGGATGAAAACATTCTATGCATTCCTGAAAAGCCTCAGATTCCAAATCTAAGAGAGGACTAATGACTTGAATGCAAGGCCTATTGTTGGCAGAGATAAGGTGGCAATGACAGGGGATGGAGGGAAGCTGAGGCTTTATTCTCAGGCTGATCTGGGCTCTACTCCCAACTCTGTGAAACACAGGGCAAGTCCATATCCTCCTCTGTAAAATGGGGCTACTACTAGGCCTTAACTCATAGGATTGTGATGGGGATTAAATGAAATAATGCACATCTAGCTTTCGGCACAGTGCCTTGCAGGTAGTGAGCACCCAGTAAATGCCCCACAATAGTCTCACTACTGTTCTTCTTGTGGATGATATTTTTTGCTGGAGGAAACCACAACCTGCTAATGTGATCAACGCCAGCTCACACTTCTGGAGAAAATTATGATTGACATACAAAGCCCATGGTTGAAATTCCAAAAAGATGACACCTCCCAGCAGGGGCTGATGAGATCCTCGGAGGTCACCCACGGGGCCACCCAGCATCCTCCTTTAGTATTTTTATTTTTTTCAGATGGAAACTCACTCTGTCACCCAGGCTGGAGTGCAGTGGTACGGTCTCAGCTCACTGCAACCTCCACCTCCTGGGTTCAAGCGATTCTCCTGCCTCAGCCTCCTGAGTAGCTGGGACTACAGGCATGCGCCACCACACCTGGCTAATTTTTTTTTTTTTTTTTTTGAGACGGAGTCTCGCTCTGTTGCCCAGGCCAGACTGCGGACTGCAGTGGCGCAATCTCGGCTCACTGCAAGCTCCGCTTCCCGGGTTCACGCCATTCTCCTGCCTCAGCCTCCTGAGTAGCTGGGACTACAGGCGCCCGCCACCGCGCCCAGCTAATTTTTTGTATTTTCAGTAGAGACGGGGTTTCACCATGTTGGCCAGGATGGTGTCAAACTCCTGGCCTCAGGTGATCTGCTCGCCTTGGCCTCCCAAAGTGTTGAGATTTCAGGCGTGAGCCACCACACCTGGCTGTATTTTTATTTTTTAATTAACTATTCATTTTGGAATTATTTTAGCTTTACAAAAAAATTGCAGATATAGTATAGACATTTCTCACATACCCTTTACCCAGCCTCCCCTAATGTTAACAACTAAACTAAAAAAATTAACCTTGGTGTGCTACTATTAGCTCAACTACAGACTTTATTCGGATTTCACCAGTCATTGCAATTGTGCTATTCCCAGATACAATCCAGCATAACATATTGGGTTTAGTGTTTTAATTTAGTTTAGTTTTGTTTTTTGGATTTTTTTTATTTTGAGACAGAATCTTACTCTGTCACCCAGGCTGGAGTGCAGTGGCATGATCACAGCTCACTGCAACCTTGAAACCTTCCTGGCTCAAGTCATCCTCCTCCCTGAGCCTCCCAGGTAGCTAGGACCATAGGCGTGAGCCACAACTCACAGCTACTTTTTAAAAATATTTTTAGTAGAGATGGGGACTCACTATGCTGCCCAGGCTGCTCTCAAACTCCAGGTCTCAAGTGATCCTCCTGCCTCAGCCTCCCAAAGTGCTGGGATTACAGGCATAAGCCACAGCATCCGGCCGTCTTTTAGTATGTTTCAAAAACACTTATTAGCTTATAAATTATATCTGTGTTTTTTTCTGAGCATAAAAATAACACTTGTTTATTTGGAAAGCATTCAGACATTAAAGAAATTCTCAAAGTAGGAAAGTGAGTGTTGTTTTCAAAGATGAGCCTGGTAAGCAGTTTGTAAGATGTCCACTCAGTCTTACTTCCCCTGCTTGGCACACACACACGTATATACATTTTATCACAAAGACAGCTCCTCTGGTACATACCTTTCCACAACTTTTGCTTTTCACTTAACAATATAGTGTGCACATCTTTCCATCGGAGTGCAGATGGAATTGTACCTTTCAAAAGTATTTCAGGCCGGGCATGGTGGCTCACATCGGTAATCCTAACACTTTGAGGGGCTGAGGTGGGAAGACAGCTTGAGCTCAGGAGTTCAAGACCAGCCTGGGTAACATAGTGAGACCTCATCTCTACAAAAAATAGAAAAAAAATAGCTGGGCATGGTGACATGTGCCTGTAGTCCCAGCTACTTGGGAGGCTGAGGCAGGAGGATGGCTTGAGCCCAGGAGATAGAGGCTGCATTGAGCTATGATTGTACCACCGAGTTCCAGCCTGGGCAACAGAGCGAGACACTGTCTCAAAACAAAAACAAAACAAAGAAGTATTTCTTTTTTTTCTGGCCATGGAAGTAATACATTGTAAAAGGAAGAAAGTTAATTCTCATATAATTTTTTCCTTCCTCCCTCTGACAAACAAATTAAACCATAATTCAAAGCCTTGTATATATTCTACGGATAGATACATGTACACCCACATGCGTACATTTCCAAGAATAGAACCATGCTAAATACCTTGTTGTCGATCTTGTTTTATTTTTAAACATTAATTAACAATATACTTTGTGTATCTTTCTATATCTGCACATTCTTGTTAACTGTTGGGTCATATTTCATAATGTGGATATTTAATAATTTATATATGTATAATATCTACTTAATTTATTTAGCCAACTCCTGTTGATGGACATTCTGGGTTTTTCCGTTTCTCCCGTTGTAAGTAATGCTGCAGTTGTAGGATATCACTTCACACTGGAATATTTTTCTAGGATAAGTTCTAAAAGCAGCATGTGCTGTGTTTAATTAGCTTGGCTGGGGACCACCCCAGAAAACCCCACACTAGGACAACTGCAAGGTGCACTGATTCCTTCCTTCCCTCTCCCTTTCTCCTTCCCAGATACTTTCATGGTGGAAGATGCAGTGGAAGCCATTGGCTTTGGAAAATTTCAGTGGAAGCTGTCTGTTCTCACTGGCTTGGCTTGGGCAAGTATTTCTGGGGGGCAGTGGCTCAGCCTCCAAGAAACCCCCATGCTGCTCAACTGGGTTTCCATGGCCTACAAGGAAGGACACAGTTCTTTGCACATGGAGCCTTTGCTTGAATTTCAATCAACAAAATTTATGTGGCGTAATAAGTGGTGATAACGAGATCTGTGCTTGAGGAGAGCTGGGTGTGTTTGGCAGTTGCCCCCAAGAAGGAGTTGAACTTTCTAGCTAATTAGGTGGCTTTCAACTCTTTGGGCTCAGGGCTACTATGAGATTATGATGTCAGCTGTAGAGCTCTCCCTAGAAAAGCATGCACAGATTAGAAATGTGCCTTCTGCTTCAAGACTCTCATGATCCCTCATTCAAATCCCCTGGCTATGGCAAAGAGTACAGCCAAACCTTTAATATACTTGAAATTAATTTTTGTGAATGGCAGGAGATGGTGATCTAACTACATATTTTCCCAAATGGATCGTCAATTTCCCCACAACATTTCCCCCCCTAATTGGAAAAGCTGCCTTTATCGTATACCAAATTCCCAAGACATGGGCATGCTTCTAGATTCCATGTCTGTCCTAGTCTGTCTAGTCTCGTAAAGGTACACGATGTTTAATTGCTAGGGATTCTGAGTCTGTTTTAATGTATTAAAAGGTCACACTTGTTAACTATACTGACAATTATATTCTATTCTACATGAACAAATGACCTATAAGCCAAAGACAAGCTAGTCTTTAACTGCACCAAAAAGATAATTGTCTCTCTGCATCTATAAAAATGTTTTTTTCTCAGATTTTAGAAATATGTTTTCCCACTTTGTTTGTGATATGCCCATATTTTTTAAAACACACACAAAAAAACCACACACGAAAATAATATAAAATGTCTATTTGTCTATTCCTGCAATGGTAATGCATGGTTTTAACTGCTGGAGCTTTGAGTGTGGTTTGATGTGCAGCAGGGCACTTGGCAATGGGTAGAGAGGGGTGTGCTACAGTCTCTGTCTCTGGGGTTATGGACTTGGCCAGCCTTCCCCAGCACCAAGCAGCATCCTGGCCTCATGATGTCTCCGTCCTCTCTGCAGATGGCTGATGCCATGGAGATGATGATCCTCAGCATCCTGGCACCACAGCTGCATTGCGAGTGGAGGCTCCCAAGCTGGCAGGTGGCATTGCTGACCTCGGTAGGCAGCCCAGCAGCTCCCTTCTGTTGCATACAGTTCTGCTCCCCTGGGGTGTCCTGTGGGATATCTCCCTTCTCCTGCTGCCGAAGGCTCAGCAGAAAAGAATTAAGCCCTGATGGAAACACTGTCCCATCCCCACCTCACATATCCTAGCAGGTTTACAGCCAACTCTACTTCACCCGGAGGTCCAGCTACTTGGGAGGGTGTCCCAGGCATCCTATTCTGTTGCTGGGAGCTTGAAACCCACCTGTGCATATCACTTAAACTCTGTATGCCTGTTTTCTTGGCTGCAAACAGGAGGTGCCAATCCCCACATCCCTAGGATTATTTGAGGACTGGAAACAACACAGTGCCTGGCATAGAGTAGGTGTTCAATAAATTGGAGCTATTGCTCCCTGGAATTAAGGCTTGAAGGAGGAGGCTGCAGAACCCTCACTTTTTGTCAGGGAGATATCAGCAGCAACCTCTTAAAAGAGAGGAATGGGCTGGGCGTAGTGGCTCACGCCTGTAATCCCAGCACTTTGGGAGGCTGAGGTGGGTGGACCACCTGAGGTCAGGAGTTCGAGACCAGTCTGACCAATATGGTGAAACCCCATCTCTACTAAAAATACAAAAATTAGCTGGGCGTGGTGGGGGCGCCTGTAATCCCAGCTACTCGGGAGGCTGAGGCAGGAGAATTGCTTGAATCCGGGAGGCAGAGGTTGCAGTGAGCTGAGATTGTGCCATTGCACTCCGGCCTGGGTGACAGAGGAGGACTCCACCTCAAATTAAAAAAAAAAAAAAGAGAGAGAGAGAGAGAGGAATGGCCAGGCTGGATAAGAGGATAATAATGATAATCACAAAAGCTAATACTTACAGAGCATTTACTGTGCAAAGGCCTTTACCTACATTGCATACAATATATGCACAATGTACATGTGCTCTTTAATCCTCACAGACCTATGAGCTAGGCGCTATGATTAGTTGAGCAAGATGAGGCACAGAGAGGTTAATCCCTTGCCCAAGGTCTGTGATCTGCATCAGTGATGGAGTCACTGCCAATTCAGGATGCCTCCCAGAATGTTGTTTTTTGTAGATAACTGTTCTGGAATGGCCTGAGTGCCTTCCACACAGCATGGCCCAGTCTGATATTAGCAATAAGGTTGTGTAGCTCAGTGGGAAGAGTTTCATGGCACATACACCTGTGTTTTTGTGGTTTAGTCACCTCCAGAAGTGTGACCTTGAGTGAGGCACTTGATGGCTGTATTTTGTGGCCTGCGAAATGGGAGTGATAATGCCTGTTTTTCTGTGTATTTTGTTAAATACACACAGCCCCTAGTACACACCAGGGGCTGAGTCCATGATACTTGCTTTTTATATTCCTCCTTCTTACCAATGTCTCCTAAAGAGTAACTGCAGGCTGGTCACGGTAGCTGACACCTGTAATCCCAGCACTTTGGGAGGCTGAGGCGGGCAGATCACTTGAGGCCAGGAGTTCAAGACCAGGCTGGCCAACTTGGTGAAACCCCGTCTCTACCAAAAATACAAAAATTGACTGGGCATGGTGGCGCGTCCTGTAATCCTAGCTACTCAGAAGGCTGAGGCAGGAGAATCACTTGAACCCGGGAGGCTGAGTTTGCAGAGAGCCGAGATTTCACCACTCCATTCCAGCCTGGGTGACAGAGTGACACTCCATCTCAAATAACAACAATAATAATAATAACTGCAGGTCTGTGTTTTTGCAATGTAGGGCCTTTCTGGTCTCTTGCCATTGGATGATAACAACCATAATTTACTGAGCACTTATTTTGGGCCAGGCTAATGGTTTTGCATACATTACCTCTTTAACCTTCTCAAACCTATGAAAGAGGTGCTTTTATTACTGTCACTTCTACAGATAAGGAAACTGAGGCTTAGAGAGGGGCATTGACTTGCACAAGCCCAGACAGCCTGTAAGAGGCAGAATTGAAAGCCAGGCCTGGCAGGCTCAGAGCCCCTGCCTCGGGCTACTTTCTTGTGGTATGAGGTTTAGACTTGTGGGCTAGGTAGAGCCATTAAGTCTCATGGGTAAATTTTCTAAGGAAAAGTCAGAGTCCTGCAGGAGTTGGAGACATAAAGTACCCAAGGAGGATATTACAG